>NC_000006.12:164010183-164161699 GCF_000001405.40 Homo sapiens | reverse complement strand
CCATTCCACCTCTAACTCTTTCAGATTAATATCTCATAGCTTCCTCTCTCTCCTCAAACTTCATTCACCTGCTCTTGCATTATCTCTCTTATTCAATAACCTTAATTCTTATTTCAGTGAAAAATAGAAGTTACTAGAGTCTATTCCACCTCCCACTCTTCCAGATTAGTATCTCATAGCTTCCTCTCTCTCCTCAAGCCTCATTCCCCTCCTCTACCATTAGCTCTCTTATTCAACAACCTTAATTCTTATTTCAGTGAAAAATAGAACTCGGTAGAGGAGGCCCTCCAAGTGGCCCCACTCTCACTCTCACAGCACCCCGGCCTCCTTCACAGGCACCATGCTACCGTGGCTTAGGGCCCAGACTTCAGCTAAACTGCCTATGTAAATCTTGCTTCTGCTAGATGGGGAGTCTTACTCCATTTGCAGGTCATCCTGTGCTTAATTTGTCATTTGTAAAACAGGTATAGACAATGATATTGTCTACCTTGTTGAGTAGTTGTTGAGAATGAAAAAGGAGTAATACATGCAAAGCATATAAATAGCCTGGCGCACAATGTACCCCATATGTATTTCCTGCAGTTATGCCTTCTGTGCTGCAGACTCTGCCTCCTCTCCTGTTCCTATAGATCCACTCCCTCACCGCTAGCAAAGGGCAACCTTGCCACCCAAGAACCAGCTCTTATCCCTTCTTGCTTAAGCAAGGACATCACTCCTTTCTGCTGGATTTTTCTCAAAAGTATACAATATGCTGTTATTTTTTTTAATCTTGGAAAAACTCTCTTGATGCCCACATACCCAGCTTGCACTACTTTCTCTTCTGTTTATGGTCAGACTACCTAAAAGAGCTGCCCACCTCCTATCTTCAATTTATCTTTTCCAAAATTCCCTCTCCAAGCAGACTTTGGCCCTTGCCACATGATACGGTTTGGCTGTGTCCCCACCCAAATCTCAACTTGAATTGTAGTTCCTACAATCCCCACGTCATAGGAGAGAACCAGTGGAAGGTAACTGAATCATGGGGGCAGTTACCCTCATGCTGTTCTCATAATAGTGAGTGAGTTCTCAGGTGAGATCTGATGGTTTTATAAGAGGCTTTTCCCCCTTTCACTCTGCATCTCTCCATGCTGCCACCATGTGAAGAAAGATATGTTTGCTTCCCCTTCTGCTATGATTGTAAGTTTCCTGAGGCCTCCCTAGCCCTGCAGAACTGTGAGTCAATTAAACCTCTTTTCTTTATAAATTACCCAGTCTTGGGTATGTCTTCACTAGCAGTGTGAGAACAGACTAATACAGTAAATTGGTACCAGTAGAGTGTGGTGTTGCTGTAAAGATACCTGAAAATGTGAAAGCAACTTTGGAACTGGGTAACAGGCAGAGGTTGGAACAGTTTGGAGTGCTCAGAAGAAGACAGGAAATTGTGGGAAAGTTTGGAACTTCCTAGAGACTTGTTGAATGGCTTTGACCAAAACGCTGAATAGTGGTATGGACAATAAAGTCCAGGCTGAGGTAGTCTCAGATAGAGATGAGGAACTTGTTGGGAACTGGAGCAAAGGTGACTCTTGTTATGCTTTAGCAAAGAGACTGGCAGCAATTTGCCCCTGCCCTAGAGATCTGTGGAACTTTGAACTTGAGAGAGATGATTTTGGGTATCTGACAGAAGAAGTTTCTAAGCGGCAAAGTGTTCAAGAGAAAGCAGAGCATGAAAGTTTAGAAAATTTGCAGCCTAACGATGCAATGGAGAAGAAAAACCCATTTTCTGGGGAGAAATCCAAGCCTGCTGCAGAAATTTTCATTAGTAACAGGGAGCCTAATGTTAGTCATCAAGACAATGGGGAAAATATCTCCAGGGCATGTCAGAGACCTTCACAGCAGGCCCTCCCATCACAGGCCCTGAGACCTAGGAAGGAAGAATGGCTTCATGGGCTGGGTTCAGGGCCTCCCTACTGTGTGCAGCCTCAGGACTTGGTGTCCTGCATCCCAGCCACTCTAGCCATGGCTAAAAGGGGCTAAGGTACAGCTCAGGTGGTGGCTTCAGAGGGTGCAACCCCCCAAACCTTGGCAGCTTCCACATGGTGTTGGTCCTGCGGGTGCACAGAAGACAAGAAATGAGGTTTGGGAACCTTTGCCTAGATGTCAGAGGATGTATGGAAACGCCTGTATATCCAGGCAGAGGTGTGTTCCATGGGCAGAACCCTCATGGAGAATCTGTTAGGGCAGTGCAGAAGGGAAATGTGGGACTGGAGCTCCCACACAGGGTCCCCACTGGGCACTGCCTAGTGGAGCTGTGTGAAGAGGTCCACCGTCCTCCAGACCCCAGAATGGTAGATCCACAGACAGCTTACACCATGCACCTAGAAAAGCTGCAGACACTCAATGCCAGCCTGTGAAAAGCAGCCAGGAGAGGAGCTGTATCCTGCAAAGCCATAGGGGTAAAGCTGCCCAAGGCTGTGGGAGCCCACATCTTGCATCACTGTGACCTGGATATGAGACATGGAGTCAAAGGAGATCATTTTAGAAGTTTAAGGTTGAATGACTGCCCTTTTCGATTTTGGACTTGCATGGCCCTGTGGACCCTTTGTTTTGGCCAATTTCTCTCATTTGGAATGGGTGTGTTTACGCAATGCCTGTATCCCTATTGTGTCTAGGAAGTAACTAACATGCTTTTGATTTTACGGGCTCATAGGCAGAAGGAACTTGCCTTGTCTCAGATGAGACTTTGGACTTGGACTTTTGAGTTAATGCTGGAATCAGTTAAGATTTTGTGGGACTGTTGGAAGGGCATGATTGTGTTTTGAAATGTGAGGACATGAGATTTGGGAGGGGCCAGGGGTGGAAAGATATGGTTTGGCTTTGTGTCCCCTCCCAAATCTCATCTTGAATTATAGTTCCCATAATCCTTACATGTCATGGGAGGAAACGAGTGGGAGGTAACTGAATCATGGGGGCAGTTTCCCCATGCTGTTCTCATGATAGTGAGTGAGTTCTCATTAGATCTGATGGTTTTATAAGGGGCTTTTCCCCCTTTCGCTCTGCTCTTCTCCTTGCTGCCACCATGTGAAGAAGGACATGTTTGCTTCCCCTTCTGCCACGATTGTAAGTTTCCTGAGGCCTCCCCAGCCCTGCAGAACTGTGAGTCAGTTAAACCTCTTTCCTTTATAAATTACCCAGTCTCAGATATGTCTTTAATAGCAGTGTCAGAATGAACTAATACACCACACCACCCAAACTGCCTTGGCAAGGGCACCATGTTCTTTAAAATATTTTCCTCACTCGGATTTTAGAACACCCCAAACTCTTTCATCTTCTCCTCCCATTGCAGTTACTCTTTCTCAAACATATTTTCTAATTCTTCCTCATTTTCTTAAACTCAAAATGAGGGAGCCCCTGGACTCCATTCCTGGGCTCTCTTCTATCTACCCTCACTCCCTGGGTGATCTCTCCCAATCTCGTGGCTTTAAATATCATCGACCTGGTGTGCCTCCTCAGCTGATATCTTCAGTCTGAACCTCCTTCCAACCTTCTGAAATCCAGCTGCCTCCATCCTCTATCCTCCATCTCCATCAAACTCAACACTCCTGAATGAAACTCTTCACTGTCCCCGCTAAAGCTCCTTCTCCGACAGTCCTCAGCATCCCTACAAATGGTCGTTCTTTTCTTTCAGTTCTCAGGCTGAAAATATTACATCTGACTCCTCTCTTTGTCTTGGGTCCCACATCTTATCCATCAAAAAATCCTCCCAGGTTTACTTTCAGAAATACATTTGGAATCTAGCCGATTCTCACCCCCTCTAAGTCCTCCTCTTTAGTCCAAGCCCTCAGCATTCCTTGCTGCAGACTGCAGGGTCCCCAAGGGTCCTGTGACTATCCAGGCTCCCTCTAGGTCTGTTTCCAGCAGAGTTCTTAGGGGCTTATGATCCACTGTCATTTGGAGGATGTCCTCTCATGGCTTCTCACGTCTCTGAGACCAAAACCAAATGACAGTGACACATGGGGCCCCACGAGGTCTGCTTTCTTCATGCACAGTGCTGCTTCCCCAGCCTCGTTTTCCTTCTCCATCGTGTCCTTGTGCCATGCTGCTCCTGGAACACTGTAGGCACATTTCTGTCTCCTGGAAAGTCCTTCCCTGACACCTGATGTCCACCTGCCTCTCTTCCTCACCTCCTTCAAATGTTTGCCAAATCCCTTCTTCTCACTGAAGCCTGTCTTTGTCACCAGATCTAAAATGTTACCATTCACCACCTCAATACTCTCTGTCTCCTCTCCTTATTTTTCCCCTACTCTCTAATGTATTCACGTGTGCAATCCATTTTCACCTATTTCACTTAGTCACTGTGCATCTCCATCCTAGATTATGAACCACACGTAGGCCAGAACTTCAATTTGTTTACAGCTGTTTCCCCATCTGTGTAGCAAAGGGATTTGGCCCAAAGAGAGGTCTGGCCTTAAGCCCCAGCTCCTTGAGAGTAATCTCTGAACCCTTCTGATTTCTCAAGTGATGGTAGTGTTTTTAGTATTCATGATAGGCCCTGTGGATCACATCTAATAGCTCAAGCTAACAAGGTGACTCTTGTTACCTGAGAGGTGAGCCTCTCAGGCACATGATATCTGCTTCACCTCCAAGAATTCAATCATGTGGAAAATTAATCAATCAATCATACCTACATAATGAAGCACATTAAAGACTCTGGAGACCAAAGATTGGGTGACCTTCCCAGTAGGCAATACTCCATGCATATCATCACACATTGATCTGGGAGGGTCACAAGTCTTGAGAACAACGGAGACTTTCTTCACTATTGGAATCTTCCCAGACTCTGTCCTATAAATCTCTATCCTTGGTTGATTTTAATGTATATGTTTTCTGTAACAAATACAACCATGGGTATAATAGGTTCCCGTGAGTTCTGAGTCATTCTAGTGCTTATCAAAACCGTGAGTATTTGCAGGAAAACCCCAAGCTTGCAGTTGGTGTCAGGAGTGAGGATGGCCTTCTGTGCGCTCTTCCATCTAACTCATGCAGTTGGACCCTAACTCCTTGCAGTTGGGTGAGAAGTCTTGGGTTCACTTGGCCATCTAGAGACTGTGCTCCTAACTTCACATTTTTACTAACTCTGGGTACAGCACTAAGACCTGTACTTGGCATCCATAAATAAATGCTGGATGAATAAATGAGTGGCTGAATACAAAACTATAACCCAAGTTTACATTGGGAAACACTCAAGATAATAACTGTTAAGTTCAGCCTCTATTCAGCACATTTTCTCCCTGGTTTCTTTGCCTCTCACTTCTAATGGACTTGCAGGAATTGTAAAACAAAAAACTAACATTCACCCTTGTGTGATCTACTCCAGAATATAGTCCTCTGTGAAAATTTGATATATGAAACTAAAAACTGCATTTTTTAAGATGCCACGTTGTTATAAATAACTTTTGGAGTGAGCAGTTTCAGGTATAAAATTATTGGCATGTGCCAAATGTGGAATAGAATAGACCTAACTAGTTTTAAATTATTTTTTACTTTTATAGATTTAGAGACACAAGTGCAGTTGTGTTATTTCGATGTATTTCATAGGGGCGATGTCTGGGCTTTTAGTGTACCCATCACCCAGACAGTGTACACTGTACCCAATAGGTCGTATTTCATCCTGCACCCATCCCTTCCAGCTTTTGGAGTCTCTGATGTCTATTTTTCCACTCATATGTCTCTGTGTACCCAATGTTTAGCTCCCACCTAAAAGTAAAAACACATGGTTTTCTACTTCCTTTCTGAGTCATTTCACTAAGGATAATGGCTTCCAGTTCCACCCATGTTTCTGCAAAGGACATGATTTCATTCTTTTTTGTGGCTGAGTGGTATTCCATGGTACATGTATATTACATCCAATTGTAAATGGATAATTGGATTGTTTTATCCAGTCATCCACTGATGGGCACTTAGGTTGACTTCACAACTTTACTATTGTGAATAGTGCTGCAATAAACATATGAGTGCAGGTATCTTTTTGATATAATTATGTATTTTCCTTTGAAATACCCAGTAAAGAGATTGCTGGGTCAAAAGGCAGTTCTATTTTTGTATCTTTAAAAAATGTCCATACTGCTTTCCATAGAGGTTACACTAGTTTACATTCCTACCAACAGTGTATAAGTGTTCCCTTTTCTCTGCACCCTCACCAACATCTGTTGTTTTTTGAATTTTTAATAATAGTTATTCTGACTGGTATGAGATGGTACCTCATTGCGGTTTTAATTCACATTTCTCTGATGATCAGTGATGTTGAACATTTTTCATCTGTTTGTTGGTTGCTTGTATGTCTTCTTTTGAAAAATTTTTGTTCATGTCCTCTGTCCACTTTTTAATGGGGTTATTTGTGTAGGGGTGGGTTGTTGAGTTGTTTGAGTTCCCTGTAGATTCTGGATATTAACCTTCGGTCAGATGCATTGTTTGCAAATATTTTCTCCCATTCTGTAGGTTGTGTTTCACTTATTTCTTTGGCTCTGCAGAAGCTTTTTAGTATAATTAAGTTCCACTTGTTTATTTTTGGTTTTGTTACTTTTTTTTGAGGACTTGGACATAAATTCTTTGCCTAGACTAATGACTGAAAAAATTTCTCATAGGTTTTCTTCTGGTATTTTTATAGTTTTGGGCCTTACATTTAAGTCTTTAATTAATCCACCTAGAGTTAATTTTTGTGTATGTTGAGAGAGAGAGGGGTCCAATTTCATTCTTCTGCATATGGCTTTCCAATTTTCCCAGCACCATTTATTGACTAGAGTATCCTTTCCCTAGTGTATATTTTTGTTGACATTGTCAAAAATCAGTTGGTTGTAGGCATGTGGCTTTATTTCTGGGCTCTCCATTCTGTTCCGTTGGTCTATGTATCTATTTTTATACCATGCCATGCTATTTTTGTCTTTGTTCACTGACTACCTGATCTTATACTTTAGGAAACCCTACACACTCCTCCAGAAGACTCCTCTATTTGAATAAAGACTTTAGCAAAGTTTCAGGATTCAAAATCCATGTGTAAAATTCAGCAGCATTTCTATACAACAATAATGTTCAAGCTGAGAACCAAATCAAGAACTCAATCCTATTTATAATGGCAATAAAAATCCAATAAAATACCTAGGAATACATTTAACCAAGGACGCTAAAGATCTCTACAAAGAGAACTACAAAACACTGGTGAAAGACATAATAGATAACACAAACAAATGGAAAAATATCCCATGCTCATGGATCAGAAGAATCAACATCGTTAAAATGGCCATACCGACAAAAGTAATCTACAGAGTCAATGTAACTCCTATCAAATTACCAATATCATTCTTCACAGAATTAGAAAAAACAACCCTAAAATTCATATGGAACCAAAAAAACCACAGCCTCAATAGCCAAAGCAATTCTGAGCAAAAAGAATAAAAGCATCAGGTATTATATTACCTGACTTCAAATTATACAACTAAAGGAATTTGATTGTGTCTCCTTCTCTAAAGAACATACATAGTAAACAAATGTATAGGTTCTCTAACACTCTACCAATATGAAACTATCAGTCTTAAGTTATAATTGTTTGACTTTCTTTTTAAACCCAAATCATTTAATTCATTTAGATTGAAAATCCTATTTATCACTTTAAAAAATACCTCCTTTCAGTTTTCTTTAGTGGTACACTATACTCTTAGAAAATAGTGAACCCTAACCTCAAGTAGAGAGGAGCACAAGGAGATGACAATTTAAAAACTAATAATAAATAAAACCCTCTGCTCCTGTGTGGGAAGCCAGGAAGAACTGCACAAGAGCTTCCATTGAGAAGATACCCTTTGCACTTTAAAAAAAATGCTGCAAAATGCTTATCTGCAGGTGAAGGAAGAAAATCGAGTGATATAATTTTCTTTCAAATTAATGGCAAGTAAAGGCTTTCTGTTTCTATACAGATTTGACTTCTCCTTGAAAATATGTAGCCAATAGCAGGAAGACAAGGAGGCGGGGAGTTATAGACAGCCCAGTTTGAGATTCGGTGCAAGTCAGGGTTTGCAAGATTTTCTGGCAGAGCTTGAAACACCATTTATACCCAGTGTGACACAAGTACAAGTTTCACTGAAAATATAGTGTCAGTAATCAACAGTGAAATATTAAATTATGGCTTGGGGCTGAGCAGGGACTCTTTATCAATTTTATTACTTTGGGAAATGTACATACACACACATTAATATTTCGCAGGCCCTTCTCCAAAAAAATGTCCAGCAATGAGAAATATGTAAGATCAAAAAATAACTTTGACACAAGGATATTTCTGGACAACAGAATCAACCTAACATTTTCTAACCTGCCATTAAGGTGTGGTTCATTCATCTACATTAGAAATAAGAGCTTGGATAATGAGATATTCCCTCAATGAGATGTGAACTGAGTAAATCTCATTCAAGATGTAATTTGAATGTAATGTCTTGTCCCTAAAATAAACTAAGCATTGTAAAAAGTTTAATGGTACACAGTGAATCAGGAAAACGCAGAAAGTGCCAAAAAAATGTTTATTCCCAACAAAAGCATCTCTCTATTTACTGTGACATGTTGTCAGAAGAGCTGAGCTCATTATGATATTTCCGTGTATGATCACAACACGGGCTTTCTCTCAACTTGCTGAGCTAGTCCTGATTGCTCTTTTGCATCAGTTTTTAAACCATTTTACCAAGTATCCATGCTTCAAAGTCAACACTTCCATGTTTAAGAGGGATCTAGCTTCTCCTGGCACAAAGTTTGGTATTTTAAAAGAAGGGACTTTATTATCCAAGGCAGAGATTCCTGAAGAACAGGTCTAGTACCATCATTTGAACAGAAAAACTCATCATCCTTCTGTGGGTGGGGTGAGCCACATGCCTTGTGGTTTCACTTAATTACTGTGCAGGAATTGTGCTCTGGGGCCAAGCTACGGGTGCATTTTGCTTTTCGTTGCAATCTTAACAGGAAATAAAGTCTGTGGACCTAAAAAATTGTGCCCGCCATTAATGAGCTCTATCTATGTCTCACAGAGGCAAGCCATGCAAACACTGGGTATCATTGAGGTACAGGGGATTTTTCACTGTGAGTACACGGTCATGATTAAGTGGGCAGGCTTTGGAATCTTTGGATTTGAATCTCAGGGCCACCACTTACTACATGCATGTGGATAGGTCTATCAACTTTTAGGATTTTAATTTTCTTACCTATAAAATGAGGCTTATATACCTACATATAGCAGGGCTATATAAATGAAAGAAAATGATGTATTTAAAGTAGCTAGTACTGTGATTATTATATGATTCTCAATACATGATGATCAATTTTTATTATTAAAATGCGCCCAAGATAAATTTGCATATTTTCAATAATAACTTGGAAGCCAAGTGTGTGTTTGTATATAAAATATACTTTAACAAGAAATCTTTCATAATTCAGAGATCATAATAAATTTTGATAGATATTATCAATCTTTCAAGTAGGAGGTGCTTGTCTATTCCGTTTTACAGATGGAGAACCTGAAGCACAAAAAGTGAATTTCCTGATATCACAAAAGAAAGTTTTCTTTTAGTGTTTTTAATAATAAAATGAGGTCCAAGGTTGAAGTTAAAGAACGTGTTAAGTTGTATCACAACCAAAGCAGACACACCGGTTTTGACCTGCGCTAGTTCAGTCCCTGCTTCGCTGAAAGGGTCGGCCTCCTCTTTTGAAGACAGGCGTTGCTTCGGATTTGCAAAGATTCAGAAACAGTCAAGGACAGCGCCTTCCTGAAAAACAGCCGCAGCATTTAGCGCCAGATTGTGAAGACAGAGGAGGAAAATTACCTTTAGCAAACCTAACTATCTGCATGACATTCTGCATGCATAAACAGATAAACTGTTAGTTGAGAAACCAGAGTTTCTTCTAACAAATGAATTAATATAGCTGTTTAATTCGTCTCCTTGTTCTATAAATACAAGCAGCTATGAAGAATGTGTCCAGTGTCTGCCGTGGTGGCTTCTGTGTGCGCGTGTGTTCTTTCTCATGCGCTTCCTTGGTGGCAGGGTGCCCGGGGACTGTGGAGGGACATCCTGACTGCCTCCCACTTCTCCTCCCCAGAACGCTTCACTGTTTCTGCTGAAATCCCTCTATTTAAAGGTGAGATAATCAGCTTTTGTTCCATTGGCTTGGATTAAAGACAACCTCTGAGCTAAAAACAAAGCTAGCCCTAGGCTGGGGGGCGGTCAGCCTCTGTATTTGCTAGCAAAGAAAAGGACTTTTTTAAAATTCTTTTTCCAGGACTGAAAATTCTCATGCCCTAGAAACCACAGAAGTAGAACTTCAAGTGTTTCCCAAAGACAAATATCCCTATTAAGAAGGGGACAGGACTTTGGCAGCCATCTGCAAACTGTGGCGGGCAATTTGGCTCCAGCAGCCATCCTGCCTTGTAAAGAGAGAGCAAACAATCCCTTTGTCCACAGCCCCTGGGCTTGCCTGGGCACCCCAGGCAGGAAGTGCTCTTTCAGCCCCCACTCTCCCTTCCATCAAAGCCTTCTTTTTCAACATAGTGCTTTCCTGATCATATTATCTGACTGCTCTAGTGAAACAGCCTTCCCTGTCCACCGCAAGGAGGAATACCGAGCCGTGGCAAGACCACCTCCATGCTCTGCCCTCAAAGAGCAAAGGGCCAGACACCAGCATGGATGGCTCGTAACTGGGGTGTGTGTATAGAGAAGGTGCCCAAGGGTGAAAGGAGCTAATAGTGAGTAGAACTAGTACAAATTGGATTTAACCTCACACAAAGCCATTGAAAATATCATGGTTGTATGAAATCTCTGCAGTTTTTACACATTCCCTAAAATATAAAATGAAAAAACTGGTGAGATGATTGGATGACCTCAAACTTTCCAGTTCATCTCTGTCTTTACATGTGAATTGTATTCAATTCCTTCCTTCTGTGTTAAAAGAAGCCTGGAAAGCCCTCCACACCCTGGTGGACAGGGTGGATGGTCTTCCCACGGAGACAGCTGACAGCCACCCCACCAGCCAGGCTCTGCCACCCTAGAAAGAGGGCCTGGAAATGTGCAGGTCTGGGTTTCTTGATTTCCCCACTCCTAAGCAAAAGGGAAAGAGAGGGAAAGGTCTATAAAATGTCTTAACAAAAGAAGCATGTAGGCATTTCCATTTCACAAAGCGTGTTCAACAAATGCACTCACTGCTGATTAGCACTGGAGGCGCGCTTTTCCGAAGTCCTTTTTGCCACCAGATCTTCTTTATCCTGGGAAGCCGGACACTGCTGATTGTCAAACGCTGCTAAGTACCCAGATTAAGACCTCTCCCCATTTACCAGTTCCTATGAAGCTGCTGATTGTGGCAAGCCCTCCTCTGCCACTGCTGTCATCCCGCAGCAGGACTTTCTTAAGGAAAACAAGCTCTCCATTCTGCACTCTGCCGCATTCAAAAATAGGATTTCAAGCCTTCCCCTTCCCCAGATTCCTGTAATCCTCATTCAGCTGCCCTTGCATCTGTGTCTGAGTCTGAACCAGGAACACTAAGATTCTCCTTCATTCAATCTTCTTCCGTTTTTCTAACTCTGTTGGAGGAAAAAATGCAATACACCCAGCTATGAAGACAGAGAAAGACAGAAAGAGACATAGAGAGACTGAGAGACAGACAGAACCCACAGACATGGCACACATTTCTATTAACGTCATAGTCATAGTCTAATAGCTTAACCTTTCTATTTTACCAAATGATCATTGTTTTTACCAAACCATCGTAGACCCTATATCTAATTAAATATAAATTAAATCTAAACAACAGACCAACAGGCTGTAGAATAAGATTTCTATGGTTTTAAGCTTTTAAACTAGCGTATCTCAAAGTGCTAAAATGCCATTGTGAAGCCATGTAGAGTGTATGCAACAGATTTTTATCTACCTTGCATGAGTACTATGTTTTTCTTGTTTTTGTTTTCGTTTTTTTGAGACAGAGTCTCACTCTGTCACCCAGGCTGGAGTGCAGTGGCACAATCTCGGCTCACTGCAACCTCTGCCTCCCGGGTTCAAGCTATTCTCCTGTTTCAGCCTCCCGATAGCTGGGATTACAGGTGCCCACCATCACGCCCGGCTAATTTTTGTATTTTTAGTAGAGATGGGGTTTCATCATGTTGGCCAGGCTGGTCTCAAACTCCTGACCTCAGGTGATTCGCCCACCTCGGGCTCTCAAAGTGATGGGATTACAGGCTTGAGCCACTGTGCCCAGCCATGAGTACTGTTTTTAACCTTGTGGAGAAAGTTCTAAACTTTGTCCTGGGTGAGGTCTGCATTGATTGATTCAAAGTAGATGACAAGCAACACTCTTACTTGTGTTATTCAGTTAAGATGAACATTTTGGAGGACATTTTTAGCAGTCTGTAAAGAACATTTATTCACACTTAGAGTGCCACAAATGATATAAGGTTAGGAAATCAACCCAAGTCTTTTGATTTCACAGACTTTTGTTTTCCTTGTAACAAGCATAGGCCTGGGCTGTTCTCTGTTTTTTTGACCCTCCTGCTGTAATCAACATTGGTACACATTTGCTAAAATTTAACTTTAACATATGTCCTTTTGGTCATTGCTCTCCATTAGTTAGATGAATAACAACAACATCTAATTGCCTGAGGCAATAAAAGAAACTGATGTCATTGGAGGTCTAGTCATAAATCCCTCCCATGCTGATACAAGTCATCTTCCCGAAATAGACTTACACACATGCATCTGTGCATAAATATGCAGGCAAACAGATACAGCCCTCTACCCTCTTCCTTTTAGTCAGTTCTGACCTTGTCACCAGATACTTAGGAGTTAAAATTAGCAACATCCCTCAAACCCAAAATATCTGCATTTTCTTGGAATATACAAAGCACCACCCACTAAGCTGAAATTCAATTCCATTTCTTCTCAATTCCAAAGAAAATCCCTCTCTCTCCACCACCTAATACATCTGCAATGAATGGAAGGATAAGAAAGAGAAAGCCATTTTTAATTTGGAAACATCAGGATAGACAAAGTGACCACTGGAACAAAACAGGGTCTAGAAACAGACCCCACATGCAGGTGTCTTATTTTAAAGGAAAGCCACCTTTGTGGTGTGGCAAGGAAAGGATTGGCCTCTAAAGGCTGGGTTGATAGGCTGTCCCAGTGGGAAACAAAATGTATTTGAACACCATACAGAAAAATCAATTTCTGATAGATTTCAGATCCAACTGGGAAAAGCAAACAATAAAGCTTTTAGAGGAAAATATAAAGGAAATTTTTGTGACCTTGGAGTAGGAAAAGATTTCTTAAACGGTAAGTAGTTAGGTTCTAACAATAAAGAAAACTGATAAATTGTTCTACGTTAAAGTTAAGAAGGTCAGAAGTCACCATTCAGATAGTGAAAAGGCCAGGCAGACAGTGCGAGAAGAGATTCAAAAATACATATATTTGAAAAAAGACTTCATATCCACAATATATAAAGAACTCCTACAAATCAATAGAAAAAAATATACAGTTGTCACTTGGTATTAGGAAGTGATTGGTTCCAGGACTTCCAGTAGATACCAAAATTTGCAGATGCTCAAGTCCCTGGTATAAAATGGAGTGGTATTTACATATAACTACACAATCCTCCTGTACACTTTAAATCATCTCTAGATTATCCTCCCTTATACATTAAATCATCTCCAGATTACTTACATTACCTAATACAATGTAAATGCTATGTAAATGCTATGCAATTGTCATACTATATTTTTTGTATTTGTATTAGTCCATTTTCATACTGCTACGAAGAAATACCTGAGACTGGGAAATTTATTAAAAAAAGAAGTTTAATGAACTCACAGTTTCACATGGCTGGGGAGGCCTCAATCATGGCAGAAGGGGAAGGAGGAGCAAAGGCATGTCTTACATGGTGACAGGCAAGAGAGCATATGCAGGGGAATCACCATGTATAAAACCATCAGATTTTGTGAGACTTATTCACTATCATGAGAACAGCACAGGAAAACTCACCCCCATGATTCCATTACCTCTCACGGGGTCCCTCCCACCACACGTGGGGATAATGAGAGCTACAATTCAAGATGAGATTTGGGTGGGGACAGAGCCAAACCATATGAATATTATTTTGTATTGTTACTTTTTCCAAATATTTCTGATCTGTGCTTGTTTGAACCCACAGATACAGAGGGCCTACTGCACCAGCAACCCAATGAAGAACTAAATAAAAGCGATGAACAAACTCTTCTCAAAAAGAGAATACCTGAAAAACCAATGAACAAATGAAAAGCTACTCAACTTTATCAGTCAGCATGGAGATGCAAATTAAAGTCACAGTGCCATAAGACTGCATACCCCCAGAATGACTAAAATGAGAAAGATGTAAATACTAGTGTCAAAAGGATGTAGAGTGACCCTTCACATCCCTCTCATATGCTGCTTGTAAGACAGTAAACTGTCACAAACATTTTGGAAAATCATTTAGCAGTTTCATCTGAAAGAGACATGGGACTACACCATAATCCAGCACTTCTACTCCTAGGTCTCTATGCCCCACAGAAATGCATACATTCATCCACCAAAAGTCATGAACTAGAATGTTCATAGCAACATTGCTCATAACAGCCAAAAACTTGCAATTATCCAAATAGTCATCAAGCATAGAATAGGTAAATAAATTGTAGTTTATGCACTTTTGGAACATTATGCGAGATTGATAATAAGTATTAAGCTATAGCAACTACTGAACAAAACAGAATGTTAGAGAAAGAAGCTAAACACAAAGAATATATACTATATAAAATAATAAATCAAGACAACTAATCTATGCTGATAGAAGTAAGTGCGTAGAGCCTGGTTTGGAGGAGAGAAATCTCTCAAACGCAGTTAATGGTCCATTTCCTTACCTGGGTGCTAGTTACACAGTTATGTTTAATTTATGGAAATCTGCTGGTATGTGCACTTTTTATATATGATGCTTTTTTAAAGTGATATATGCCCATTAGGAAACGCAGTAAAGTAGAAAGAAAAAAAGTAACTGAATCACAACATTAGTAATGAACCTTACGTTTTTCAGAGTTTTTACCACAGTTACAGTTACAACCATATTTAATTGTATTCATTTGAACTCAAATTAATACAATGTAATTCAAGGATAAAAATCAATTTATCTGCACTCTATGTCTATCCATATGTTAAAACAATAAAAATTTCTTGCAGTATTTCCTGGTTTGTTGAGGGGAATTCTACCCTGGATGTTCATAATCATTTGCTCATTGTGCATTAATACTTCTTTTTTTTTAGATGGAGTCTCAATCTGTTGCCCAGGCTGGAGTACAGTGGTGCGATCTCAGCTCACTGCAACCTCCACCTCCCGGATTCAAGCAAATCTCCCGCCTCAGCCTCCCGAATAGCTGGGACTACGGAAGCACGCCACCATGCCCAGCTAATTTTTGTATTTTTAGTAGAGACGGGGTTTCACCATGTTGGTCAGGCTGGTCTCGAACTCCTGACCTCATGATCCGCCCGCTGGGCCCCCCAAAGTGCTGGGATTACAGGCGTGAGCCACCACGCCCAGCCCTAAGCATTAATACTTCTAAAAATATGTCCACCACTTTTTTAACCCATTGTCTTTCCTGTGTGTCTTCAATTTTTTTTTTTTTTTTTTTTTTTTTTTGAGATGGAGTCTCACTCTGTCGCCTAGGCTGGAGTGCAGTGGCACGATCTCGGCTCACTGCAAGCTCCATCTCCCCACTTCATGCCATTCTCCTGCCTCAGCCTCCCAGTAGCTGGGACTACAGGCGCCCGCCACCACACCCGGGTAATTTTTTTTTTTTTTTTTTTTTTTTTTTTTTGTATTTTTAGTAGAGACGGGGTTTCATCGTGTTAGCCAGGATGGTCTCAGTCCCCTGACCTCTTGATCCGCCCACCTCAGCCTCCCAAAGTGCTGGGATTACAGGCGTGAGCCACCGCGCCCGGCCTTCAATTTTTATATTTTCCCTTGGTTACCTGGAGTTTATCTTCCAAACACATTGTTCGGAAATTGCATATTTATTGAATATTTCTGATGCCATGTGTATAAGAAGTTTCTGTCACCTTCTCTTAGGAAGGTAAAAACTATTCCTACTTCATGAGCTTTTCTTCACAAATATCTGTATGGCATGCCTTAAAATCTCTTGCATTTCATGTTGTAAGGAAGTATGATGCCAGTGTCTTTTTTTTCCCCCATTTGGAGAAAAGCTTATTGTTTTTCCTCGGGTATTTGTAACACTTTTTCTTCATCATTGTAACTCATAAAACATGCCGGAAGGGAAGGACGTACAGCTGTCTTTTCAATTCAGATAAAGACTGAACTCTATCTCCATTTCTCAGGCATCTTTTTCATCTCTGAAGCGTTTTCTTCAGCACTTACGTGATCACTGCTTTTGTTCAAGTTGTCCCGCATCTTTGGAACACCTCTAATCTCTTTTCTCTTTTTACCTAAGCTGTGAGAGAGCTTTACAAGCCCCCGTTTGACATCGCCTGGGCTTTCCAAAGTCTGTTTTACTTTTCACTGACTTTTTGATCGGGGGCTATAATTCACACTTTTTTGTTTTCTTCTCTCTCCTATTTCTCTTTTCATCTTAGGTAGCATTCTCAGCACATGCGGCTACTGAGAATCTCACCGGCTCCGTTTCTACCTGCAAACTGCACTTGTGGGGTCTCTAACTCCAGGGGCAAGGTTCATCCTTGCGTGTCCATCCCTACGGTGTGTCCAGTAGTTTCCTGGAGATGGAGCTTCTTGACAGAAGGAGGAGATGTCGGATGGAGAATGAGAAGAGGATTCCGGCTGCCTCCCAAAGCTGCCCTCCTGAGCGGGCTGGGAGAAGAGGGTAACAGGCAGAGCGTTGAAGTGACCTCGACATGCGCAGCTTAAAGGCGAGCCCTGCCCCTCCAACTTCCGGGACCTCGGAAAAATCACTTCAGTTTCATCCACAAAATAGGAATAAGCTTAGCACCTATGTGGCAGTTAGGCATTACCTAAGCTAGTATATTTAAAACGCCTCGCTGGCTTTTTGTAGAGTAGCTGTCATTCATCCACCTGCTGGTTGGAGCTGACCCGCCTTTTTGGCAGGATGCGTGCTGGGAGGAAAGACGGTCCCCCAGTCCACTCCAAAAGGCATATACGGGTCAGCCCCGGATAACAGACCGCAGCCGAGCGCCCCCAGCCCTGCAGCTGGTGGCATGCCCCCAGATCCTAGCTACAGATGGACTGTGTGCCTCAGTTTCAGCACTATTGTGAATTTCCCCCGTGTTTTCATGGATATTTTCACAGGTATGTCAAGAGCTGCGTCAGTTTCTGGTCACCCAACACCGTTTTAAACCATTCAAAACTGAAATCTCAAAACAAAATAGCCAGAAACAAGGTAGAATCATGAGGAAAAGCAAATACATGGAAACACAGACTACTAAGGCAGGAACCCACCAATTGTGAAAATTGCCTTCAAGTGATAATGCAAGGAAAATCAAAATATTACTATTCAACATGGAATCCTTGAGAATATTATCTTGATGACATTTTTTAAAACATCAGCGGAGCAAGATGGAATCTCATTTTTCATAAGCAAAGGCCAAACAGCACAACATTTGAAGATAAAATACATTACAAAAAAAAAGTCAGAAAAAGAAAATAAACATCAGAAAAGGATGGGCCAATTTAAATAGAATCATGTGGATCAACTGCAAACAAGTAAATTTTAGATATTCTAAAACCTCCTAAATCTATCATTCATGTTAGAATTCTCCCCAATTAAGTGTATTATACATTTGGACTACTTTTGCTTTGCAATAAAAAATAAGTCATGTACATACACATGAAATGCTATTCAATGATGTTATAACATTAGTAACCTTTATGAAATCTGGTATTTTAACATCAGATTTTATGTGATATAATTTTCCTCAAAACATTAATTTCACAATAATTAGTATCATATGTCCTCGGAATAGGTTATTTGAAAGTGTGTCTTTTTAATAATTGTGAGCCCTTAGAAGTGTTACTCAACTCATAATTGAGTGAAATTATTCATTCACGATTTTTAAGAACCGTTATATTGGAAAAATGTATAATTAAACTAGGTTTGAGTGTTTAAGTATATTGTTTAAAAATTATTCTTAGAATGTGGGTACACAATATAAATGTTTCATTTTCATTTCCTAACATGCCCTCTAAAGGACTTACTAATTAAGAAGGACCCAGGCAAGGTTGCTGAATTCAAGGGCACCATGGTTAATTCTGCACTGTTCGAGGTCACAGAGTTAAGAGTTTTTCAAATGAAAGCTCCTTTGTGAAATTCTTCTCAATTAGGGCTATCAGTGTAAAGAAAAATAGTTTCTTTGGGCATCTATGTTGACATTTTATATTTGGAAAAGAAGAAGTATTTACCTGATTTTATTTTTCCAGTTTTTCTTATGTTCAACATTATTATATGTTAATATATTGTTTCAAAGTATTGTGTTAGAAAAAGCTGGGAAATAGGCACAAATTTGGGCAGGCTGTGAAATAGCAAGAATAGAAATATGGGGACCACTGAGCTAGGGTATAAAGTTAATTTTGAAATGTTTTTAAATGAAAGCAAGTTCTAGGCTTTCTTTTAAAAAGAAAGTTTAATTAACTGATTTGTATGACAGGAAAGACACATGACTAGGTTTAAAGGCCTTTGCTGAGATGAAAAGTCTAGCAAGAGAAAAGTCCCTTCCTTCCTCCAGACCCTCCCTCAGCTGGCGTGGTAGAGATCCTGCACTAATCTGGGGCTAGCTGGCTCCTGCCCTTCAACCTCATGCTCTAAGCATCCTAGGCATCCTTGGAAAAAGCTACAGAAACTGTTTAGTCTGCAGGGCACTCAGTCTTCAGGGTCTAACCCTAACCCTGATCCTAACACGAACTACTTTCTCTCCCAGGTTTTTAAATTTTTCTTTCAAACCAATGTAGACTAAACACAAACACCTTCTTACAACGTGCAAGCACAAAATAGACCAGGCACTGTGCAAAATTCTTAAAGACATTCTCGTTTATCCTCATAACATCACTAACAGGCTGCACTATTATTAGTGACAATAATGTTTTCCAACTTTCTCCCATTAAGCAAGATGTGTCCCACTGTGATTCCATCTGCGGTTTCACACCCTTTACTCTAAACAGATGGGGCCATTATTCTTTGCTCTGGTTGTCATGTGCCTACGCTGGCTCTAAGTCACCACCAGGTGACAAACTTTTATCCTTGGTGGCATGAACCCAGTGCCAGCCTTCTCATTTGCATCTGAATATCCTAAGAAAATTAATTCTTTATTGTTTAAATTTGACTCTTACGACTCATTTCCAATCATATCAAGACTTAAAATATATGATTCAAAAGACATTTTCCAAAATATCCTTAAATACTAATCTCAATAAAAGCAGCTGGTTTTATAACACTTAATATGCTTTCTGAGCATCTGTCAGAAAATAGTTTTGATTTAAGTAAAATTGCTTTTTTCTTATCTGAAACCTCTAGGAAGCCTGAACCTAGTATGGCAATGTCTGCTCCTACGTGTGATGAAGACTTCTGCAGTTTGTCTCCAAACCACCCACACATCAAAAACTCTTGTCTTTCTCATCACTGAGTTCATCAGATATATAAGGCATCTAAAGGGAGCGACTCCTGTCTGCTGCAATCGCTGATCCAAGCTAAACCCCCTGCTTCCGACATTAACCCTGCTTCTGATATTTAACTAAACAACTTACCAGCCCTGCTACTTTTATCTTAGCCTCTGGCCACTTCAGGATTCTTATGTGTAAAATGAACAACATAATGCTATTTATCCTCTCAAGTTTTTGGAAAAATTATGTAAGCAATACATGTGAAACTCTTAACCTGGATATAGCAAGCCCTCAAAACTTCACTGTTACCTATATCATCATTAGTGCTACTGCTACTACACATATTATATAATCCCATGCCAAGAGATGGGAGGATTCTCTCTTTCTTAATCTCATAATGACATGGAGTAAAATGGAATTTAGGCAAAGATAAACTTTGTAGGCTGGCTTTAACACTGACATAGTAAAGTGTCAACTTTTGTCCTCCTCCTGTTGATGCCTCTGTCAGACCCAGGGCTGCCACCCTTGATCTTCTCTAGCACATGGAAAAAACAAATGTAAAAGCGTGAAAATTTCCAATTCTATGTGTAGATTCAATTAGAAATTTCCTAAAAATTTCAATGTTTTCAATCTCTTTAAATAAACAACAGCCAAGATATCTTTGTAGCATTCATCAGACTTTTTTTTTTTTTTTTTTTTTTTTTTGAGACAGAGTCTCACTTTGTCACCCAGGCTGGAGTGCAATGGCGTGATCTTGACTCACTACAACCTCTGCCTGCTGGGTTCAAGTGATTCTCCTGCCTCAGCCTCCCGAGTAGCTGGATTACAGGCACCCACCACCATGCCCAGCTAATTTTTGTATTTTTAGTAGAGACGAGGTTTCACCATGTTAGTCAGGCTGGTCTGGAACTCCTGACCTCAGGTGATCCACCTGCCTCGGCCTCCCAAAGTGCTGGGATTACAGGCATGAGCCACCGCACCCGACCCATTCATCAGACTTCTAAGATGCAAAAGGATGGACTCTCCAGGCTCAGTGATGAGGCTCCAGGTCTATCGTGGCCAATGGGACATCCTCAAAACCCAGCCTTCATGCAGTTCCAGGCAGAACAGTCTTGTCAGAAAAAGTCCAGTTTCAAGTGTCATAATGGGAGATTGTATTTAACTTGAGTCTGGACAATTTCATTCAGTCTGATTTGATTTTACTTTGCCCATCCTCCTTACTAAGATTCTGCATATATTAAAGACACAGTTTTTACAATAATGGAATGTGAAAGGTTTTGAGTAGTCCTCTAGTTTACAAGACACTTACTGTCAAGAAAACTTTTTAAGCCAACATACTGGGACAAAAATCCTTGAAAATAGAAGGCTTTGTTTTTGTTTTTGTTGAAAATAATGGCTATTAAAAATTCCAATCAAGAAGAGGCACCAGGGTACAGGGGTAAATAATACAGAATTTAGAACCAAACTGCCCAGATTACCAGTGGGTGATGTTATACAAGTGACAACCTCTCCATGCCTCAGTTTCCTCTCCTATGAAATGGCAGTAGTGTTGTTACCAACCTTGTAGGATCCAGAGAGGATTAAATGAGTTGATATAGTGAAGGTACGTAGGATAGTGCCTGGAACATAATAAGTACTGCATTAAGTATTAGCCATATTATTGCTTCAAAGTGTATTATGCCACGGACTAATGTTAGCATTAAAAGAATCTTACCTTTGGATTTATTAAGATGAGTAGGGACTCATTAAAGCCCCTCAATCAGGCAGCCATATTATTAACACTCAGAAAGTGGGTAACCCTGTACTTTGGTTCTTTCTTGTGTGTTTCACAGCACAGAACTACAATTCTTGTAAGACATTGTAGTAGAGGCAAATTTATGTTCTGAATAAAATACTGGGCCTACTTACAGGGTCCTCACCACCAGCCTCTAGGTGTAGGGAGCTACATGCTTCCATATGAGTCACATGCTTTTTATCAGACAAAGCCAGAATCTACAGATATCTATCTACAGAACTGACAGCTTCATAATATTGGATCTTCAAATCCATGAGAATGGCATAGTTTTTCATTTACTTAGGTAGTTAATTTCTCTGAATAATGTTTTGTGACTTTCAGTGTAGAGCTCTTACGTATGTTTCTCTAGATTTAAAAACAGCCCTTTGATTTTTTGGATGCACCTTAAATAGTATCATTGAACACTTTTCAGTGTTACTGATACACATACACACACACACACATACACATACACATATATATGCATATATATATATATAATTGATTTTTTTATGTTGACATCATATTAAACCTTCAAACAAATGGTTTGGTGTTTTATCTAGTTTTTCTACTTGTCAGTGGAAATTGTGGAATACTATAAGCCTTACGTCTGTAGCAGAAGTGGAAGCCCCCAATCCATTTTTTTTTAAATTTTTGCACTTATAAAATGAAACAAGGCCCCAAAGAGAAAGTATTCTCCCTCATGAGAATATTAACAATTGGAAATACATTTCAATTAAAATATATCCTTTTGTATTTAGCCACTGTTTTATCTTTTTGAAAGTTTCTTGTAATGCTAGACTAAAAAGGCATAAAGAATGAGTGGTATTAGAGTGCTTGTCTCTTACGGTCAATCTTTTTTCCTCCACATAAATAGTACATATAGTTTTATTTATTAAGCTACATTTATTTTACAGTTTGCAATTCATTTCACAAAGTGCATTGCTTTCAGGAAATAAAAATACATAATGCTGAACAAAGCAACAAAGCTCCCAAAAGAGGGTTAAATGAGCATAAAATCTCAAAGATAAAGTTGCAAGAATCAACAAGTGTTAAATAAATTGAGAGAAAGAAAAAAATACATATTTTTTAATTTTTTAATTTTTTATTTTTTGTTTTTATTATTATTATTATTTTTCAGGTGGAGTCTTGCTCTGTCACCCAGGCTGGAATGCAGTGGTACAATCTCAGCTCACTGCAACCTCTACCTCCCCAGTTCAAGCGATTCTCCTGCTTCAGCCTCCTAAGTAGCTGGATTACAGGCACCCGCCACCACGCCCACCTAATTTCCGTAATTTTAGTAGAGATGGGGTTTCACTCTGTTGTCTGGGCTGGTCTCAAACTCTTGACCTCAAGTGATGTTCCCGCCTTGGCCTCCCAAAGTGCTGAGATTACAGGCATGAGCCACCATGCCCAGCCTTCACCAGCATATCAATTAGTCAAAACTAAACACTTTTTAGAATAAACACTGAGTGACAGCAATTTTGAGGAAGATATCACTATACATAAAATTCAGTTTTTTTCCCAAGTTACTACCCAGACTCTAAGAAACTGGATGCAAGAAGCTGTCTCTTTTTAAGAACACCCATAAAGATCCTAAGTAATAAACATAATACACAGCAATATGTGACTAATTTCCAGAATGCTATGGTTAGAAGCTCTAGCTCCACCAGGCACATTCCATTTGTAAACAATAGCAGAACTTTCTTTTGTTCCTGCACAGGCAATCTCTCATGATAAGGAGGCCTACACACAAGTGCCGGAGACTTTTAATTAAAACCACTGTTCGCAATAAATGTGAGTTGAAATATTATTGGAATTAAACCCCAAGAATTCCCTAAGCGTGCCCACTTTTAATAAATGCAAATGCTCACTAATCACAAACCCAATATAAAGTTACACAGGGTGGCTTCACAATCAGGATTATTCAACCTGGCCATGGCTACCAATCACAGATGGTCCGTTTTCTGAGATGATTGAGAACTGGAGACCTTCCAACCTCTAGAATGCCATCAGCATCGTGAAATCTCTGAATTCACAACACAGTAGCAGCCAATCATGCGGGTGTCAGAAACTCCCCTGGAAGGAGCAATATGGAGAAGCTCATCAGGGAGGAATGCAGAGAAGCAGGTGGGCTCAAGGTCCTAGCAGGAGCCGAAGAAGCACTGTCCCATTGAGACGCAATGTGGGGAACAAACGTAATTTTAAATTTTAAGTAGCCACGTTAAAAAGTTAGTAAAAAATCAAATTAATAGTAATAATATATCTTATTTAACCCAATATATCCAAAGGTTATCATTTCAACGCATGATCAATGTAAAAATTGTTGATGTCTTTTACATTATTTATTTATACCAAGTTTTTAAAATCAGTGTGTATTTTACACTAACAAAACATCTTAATTTGGACTAGTGACATCGCAAGCATTTCATAGCCACATGTGGCTGATCCGGGTTGAGTATCCCTTACCCAAAATGCTTGAGACCAAAAGTGTTTCAGATTTTGGATTTTTTTAGATTTTGGAATATTTGCATCATATACTTACTGATTGAGCATCCCAAATTCAAAAATCTGAAATTCAAAATCTCCAAGTAGCATTTTTTGTTTTGAGCATCCTGTCAGCATTGAAAAAGCTTTTGGATTTTGAAGCATTTTGGGTTTCAGATGTTTGGATTCGAGATAGTTAATCTATATCTACTATATTGGGCAGCGCATACGTAAAGCCACAGACATTTCTCTTAAGAATTGTAGATGTCTATAGGTGGCAGCCTTTGAAACAATAGCTAATGTTTATAGCCAGGAGATACAATTAACAAATTAATAAATTATTCAATGTGTTATAGTTTCAACAAGCATGTTCATTTTCTGAGTGTTATGTTTAATACATGAAGCTATGTACATATTTAAATATGTAATGCTATAATTGTTAATAGCTATTTAATAAAAGGATAGAAATATGAACGTAAATAATACACATAAATTTTTAAATAACAGTTCTAGAAAGGGAGGGGCATTAATTAGCATTTATTTATAACTATAAAATTTTTGAAAGATCTTGTTTCAAAGAAACTATTTTGAATTACACATTTTTAAATGTTACAGAACTTTTACTGGACTCCAAGCAATAAAGCTTAGTTTTTTTTTTTTTGTTTTTTTTTTTGAGACGGAGTCTCGCTCTGTCGCCCAGGCTGGAGTGCAGTGGCGGGATCTCGGCTCACTGCAAGCTCCGCCTCCCGGGTTCACGCCATTCTCCTGCCTCAGCCTCCCAAGTAGCTGGGACTACAGGCGCCCGCCACTACGCCCGGCTAATTTTTTGTATTTTTAGTAGAGACGGGGTTTCACCGTTTTAGCCGGGATGGTCTCGATCTCCTGACCTCGTGATCCGCCCGCCTCGGCCTCCCAAAGTGCTGGGATTACAGGCGTAAGCCACCGCGCCCGGCCAGTGTGTGTTTTATCATCATGAAAAAATACCTCTTATTAAGGCACAAAGTACAACACCAGAACATTTTTATTTAGATTAATACCTTAAAATATGAAAATTAGGAAAGCTTCAAAAGAAAGAATTCATATTTTATTCATTCTGAAAACTGACTATGTGAATTCTCACAGCAGAAAGTATGGAGAATTCAAATGTGCTGAATGAAGGAGTGAAGCCATTTTGCCCAAGCAATACTATACAATCACAGCATCATAATACTATGCCAATTACAGCGGTCTGGTAGGGGCCTAGACCTCAACTGGTCTCTTGCCGTTACAGATCTTGAAGCATTTTCTTCACCAGAGCCCTAACACCATCGTGATGCCCCTGGAAGCTCTTGGTAGTCTCAATTAATTCTAGCTAGTCTTACTTTCTAAATTTGTCAGTGTTTCGCTCTTATTTAAAATTTATTTCCTGGCTAAAATACATTCTAGTAAAGCAGTGGTACTTCTCAATAAAAGCACCTGTTATCGGTTTTTTTATTAGGTGGTTGAAAAATTACAGGAAAGGAAAAAGAAAGAGAGAAGTGTGAAAAAAGAAGTGTTAATATCCATTGCCTTCACTCTTACACACAGGAATAGAGTTGCATGTATATAAACTACCTTGGAAAATTGTTCAGTTGGCAAACATCTTTTCAACGTCTTCAGGGAGACCTGAGTAGAAACTAGTCATGTTTCCTTTTTAAAAGTTAGCAATAAATGTTCCAGTTATTTTCTCTCACCTCACCTTAGACAGAGTATATTCTTCAATATCTTCTATCCTGAAAAAATATCTACAAAAATATTTCTGAAAGTCAAGGAAGAGACGAGAAGAGGGTGTCAGCCTTACGTTTATGGTGTATTAAGGACTGAGTAAGCCCTGAGTTCTTTGGGCATTTATCTACTGGTATTCAAATACAATGGACAGTTACTCTGCCAGCATGATTAAATCACAGTATTCATAGTTTTCATAAATCAAGCAGATAATTTCCTGCATTTTAGGTCTTTCAGCATCAAACAATGTTTTCCAGTAACAACTTATTAAATAAATTATTCCTGTGTGAAGTCTCCTCATTATGAACATTCATCAGAGGGAGATAGGCTGAGCATCAGACAAGAATAAATAGCGGCAGAGCCTGCAGAAGATGCACGTGGGAGACAGAGGGTGAAAGGCAGTGAGCTGTGGGCAGAGGACCCTGTTATATGAGCCTCCTCTCCCCTTCTCCCCAGAAAGGTTACCATTTGTTCCATAGCAGCAAAGTCACATTACCGTGTGCAACCTCTCCTCAAAATCATAAAGGTGGCCATATTTCCTTGTGGCATAAGTAAATGTGCCTACATTCACCACGTCAAGCAAGGGGTGGGGTGGGGGCTCATCTCTCCAACAGAAGCCCTGGCTTGCTCTAATAAAACAGATATTAATCCTAAACTCATGCCGAAGAAGGAGAAAGAGACAAAGCAGCTGTGCACCCATCGGTGCTTCTTGCAAACACAGGAGAAGGAAAGTGTGCATGTACCAGAAGTGGAGCCAAAGCCAGGCAAGGCAGGAGCACGGCACAGCGTGCAGAGGGAGAGTGGTCATCGGAGCTCAAAACACAGGGGAGGAGCCTCCCAGGACATAGAGGAGAGAAGATCTCAGATTAGTCTTAAGAAAACGGCTGGGCAAGGTGGCTCACGCCTGTAATCCCAGCACTTTGCGATGCTGAGGGAGGCAGATCACAAGGTCAAGAGATCAAGACCAGCCTGGCCAACATGGTGAAACCCCATCTCTGCTAAAAATGCAAAAATTAGCCGGGCGGGGTGGCGGGCGCCTGTAGTCCCAGCTACTCGGGAGGCTGAGGCAGGAGAATCACTTGAATCCCAGAGACAGAGGTTGCAGTGGGCCAAGATTGTGCCACTGCACTCCAGCCTGGTGACAGAGTGAGACTTGGTCGGAAAAAAAAAAAAAAATGACGATGTGACAGAGTTCATTGGGATGTAGTTTTCCCAGGAAATAAATGAGGGTACTCTTCCCTCCGTGGACCTGAGGTCTCAAGGATTCCAAACCACGCCACCATGGGAGTCAGTGAGGGGCTGGTTCCCCTGGCTCCCGCTTCAGTGACTCTGCAGACAGGACCTAGGCGAAGCCACACTTACATACCTTTCCTATCCAATAGCTGCAACGTCCTTACCTGCCTGGGTCAATTTTCACATCAGTGAGCTTCCTCCTCCGTGTTTTCTCAGCACTTACCTTGAGAATCTCAGACTTAAGGAAAACAACTCATTTGTGTTAGATCTTTATGTGAGGCTAAATGAATAGAAGGCAGTGTTTCTTTTATTTCTTTCATTGCATTGAAAAAGCACTTTTCAATTAAGAAGATGCTACCATGGAGGAGGGTTTCTTTTCTATTGGAGGTCAGTTAATGTTCCTATTTCAGAAGATTATACCATTTTTTAAAAAAGGAACCCAGCAATATTAGTAATAAGATAGAATTAGCTGGGGCTCTAACAAACCAATCGTCACAGTCTACTGTAGAAAAATTACGGAAATGATTGATTTAAGGAAATGCAACTGTCAACAAGTAAAACTGTGTGATTATTTTGTCTGGACTTCCAGCTGAGTAACAATTTACATCAACAAACTAATTCCTTTTTTCTTGAGTTCTTCACAAGTTTATCTATTAATTCATGGGTATGCTAGAAATTGCTAAGTGGACACTTGTGTAAAGCATAAATATTGACCTCTGTGTTTCGAAGGCAGCAAACACAGTTGAGCTTGAGAAGGAAAGTGGTGTAGGGGCACAGTTGCTCATAGTCCTCCACGGGGCAGAATACTCTTCTTTCAAAAGCGTGGGGTTGTACCAAAAGCTCATCTTTCTCCCCAAAGTGTAGATCTCTTGAAAGAGAAAAACAATAGCAGAGCTGTGTGTGGAACGCATCTGTCCCAGAACAAGAAGACTGAACCTCACTAATGTCCAAGGCATGGTGTGTGCGTGTGAGTTTTCAGTTAGAGACTTCTGGACCCAGTGATTAGATAATCAATGTAGAAAGTAACATATTCGCGTGTAGTCTCCACCCTCCTGTGTCCAAACCAGAAAGACAGTGATGGACAAGTGGATACTTGAGAAATTCTACACAGGAGGGAGTCTAGAGGCGCAATCTAGTCCTAAGGATACAAAAGGGAACCCTCCTTGTCATACATCTGCATAATGAGTACACCATGTTTACCAAGGTCCTCTGTTTGATTAGGGTGGCTTGGGGGTGGGGAGCTACTTCCCAGTGTTTCATGCTCTCGCCACCCACTGAGTTCTAACGTTGGCTCTCTTAGAATTGACAATGACCTTCATGATCCAATCTCAATTTACAGGTGGGAAAATTCACCAAGGAAAAGGCCAAGGTCCCAACCCTTAAGCCAACAAGACTAGCAGACCTGGGTCTCAACTCCAGGTTTCCTGCTCTGTCTTAGGAGCCTCTCCAGTGGCCCTGCTTGTGTTTATACAGCCCATCTGTCGAATATCTGCCCTCTCTCTGTGTTATACACTGAGAGTTAAACATGGAGCAACTGTGGACTTAACCGTGGTCAACATTGATGACTCATAACTTGGCTTCCCAGAGAGCAGCCAATATTTCCCAGGGAACTGGCTACACAACTTGTGATAAGACCCAATGCAAGGTGAAAAGAACAAAAGAGCTGTGAAAGGTACCAAGACATAAACCTTTTTCCTTTCCTCTCTCATCTCTCTTTTGAATAGGCATGGTGTTTACTGTACTTCTTTTCAACAACATGATAAGTACATACATATTCATATGTTTTAATTATTAGCATAAATTTCACCATTCATCTCTATATCACACCAGCCAGTTTTAAATGAAACTCTAAGAACATCTAGTTTGTAGGCAGAATCACTGAAATTACACACTGGCATTCAGTATCATGAACATGACCATGTATTTTGTTCTTACTGGAGCTGTGGAAACAGTACACAAAACTAACTCAATTGCTTTTATTTCAGGTCTTGATAAGTGCACATTCTACCAACAGTGTCTCACTGGTGAATAAGGAAGGGCAGAAAGAAAAAGGAACCACGGATCACCCAATCCTCCTATGTCATCATTTGGAGCTTAACGGGTTGGTTAATACAGGAATAAACATGAGTAACAAAGGACATGATGGGGACAGGAGTAAGAAAGGGTATGACGGGGTCCCATGGCTGTTGTGTCTCTTAGGATACCACTGCCACCTCTGTGTTCGAAGCAAGTTCTAGTTCAAAAGGAAAGCTTGGCCTCTGGGGCTGCCAGTGCCCTTAATACATTCATAGACTCAACAGGCTTGCCTTAAACTTCACACACATCATGGGTCCAAGGGAATTCTTATGACACAACACAAATGCTGTATGCACATGGGCAGCCAGGCATGGAGGACCACACATTGCTTACACCTCCTCTGCCCATGCACAAAATGCAAGTTCAAAGCTAAAATTATTAAGAATTTCAGCAACAACTGAGCATTAAACCAAGTGTGGCCCCCATCTGAGAAGTGGGGGGAAGTAGGGAGTTTGTGCTGTGACACATATTGGACACTCATGAAGCTGCCCCAATCTACCTCCAGAATGTTCAGTTAAGCTGTATCTAAAGTTCTAAACACCAGCTTAGAAATGCTTGTCTTCAATGGAGAATTAAACTCCTTATGTACAAACAAAAAAAAAAAAGAAGTCTATGCCCTGTGGAATCAACATATAGACACCAAGCTATTAGAGCATTCCCCAGCATAGATGCATAGAGGCCTAATATTTCCCATGACATCAAACGTTAAAGTGTAATGATCTACACTCCTGGGCTAAGAGTCTCAGAGTCACTTCTAATGAGAAGAGACCCTAAAGATCAAAGCCCATTGTTCTGGCAGATTAGGGAAAGCCAAGGTGATCAAAAGCATTGCCCAAAGCCACAGATCTATGAGCCATGAATGAAGGAAGAGCAGAGACTCCTGGTTAGACCTCCTTCAACTCATTGTCCACACCTCACTTCCCATCTTAGGCAAGGATTCCTCTGTTTATTAGGTGAAGGGTCACAAAGGTTCAAGAGGAAAAGACTTAAGGTATAATTAATAAATCATCTTTTGCCTTTGGAACTATAAACATTAAACAGAAATATATGTAAATCTTTGTATTAGTCAGGGTTCTCTAGAGGGACAGAACTAATGGAATAGATATATATATATATATATATATATATATATATGTAGATATAGATATAGATATATATATATATATATATAAAGGAGTTTTTTAAGTATTAACTCACATGATCACAAGGTCTGCCTGCTTATATTCTAGCCTCACTGGCAGCCGATTAGATTGTGCCCACCCCAGTTAAGGGTGGATCTGCCTTTCCCAGCCCACTGACTCAAATGTTAATCTCCTTTGGCAACACCCTCACAGACACACCCAGAATCAATTCTTTGTATCCTTCAATCCAATCAAGTTGACACTCAGTATTAACCATCACAATCACCAAATTTGGAAATACATTAATTATCTTAGAATTAGCCACACAATGAACACAAAACAATGTGGCTGTCTTAACAGAAATATGTGAGCTGCCTGTGGCTACAGCATTTAGTTTTATATTCCTTTAATACCCTATCTCCTATGACAATCTTTGGTATTAACATTATTTTAGATTTTAAAAGCAAGTGGAGAGGGCTGACTTACTAAAATTTTTGCAGAAACTAGTTTGCCAGTGGCTGCAGAAAGGAAGAAGTTTTTGGTTTTTGCTAATAAGATCCTTTGAGTTGGAGGCAGAAGAATTCCAATATGATTAAGAATCTTAGACTGGTTAAACAGACCACACACACCCAAACAAGCAAATTATCTAAATGCCGAGAATTTGAGGCCTATAGAACCCCCATGTTAGACACCCATTAATCCATAGAATTAAACAAAAGATATGGATTAAAATCTAAACATGAGCAAGATGGAAATTCAGTTATCTCAACCCTTAGCCTTGCAAAGAAGTGAGTTAATGAGAAAATGTTAGAAAAATGTATATTCTCTTCAATTATTGTGCAATGCAATTGGATCAAGTATTCTCAAACAAAGTGAATGCTAACTTGAGTGGGAATAGCCTGGCAGAGGAGAAAATGGAGTGCTGATCGGACCTAGGACTGGGCTGTGAAGAATCCAAAAGAAAGACCATCCTGTAATATGCTTTTGGGACATGAGAAATTTTTGAAATAGAAAATCAATGTGAGTTAAATTTGTTTTTCTGATGAGAGGTGTAGATTTTCCAGCTGTCTGGTCCCAACCAAGGTCAGTGCTACGGATTTCCCTTCCACCTTTGGAGTCACCAAGAGATCGGCTTGTCAAGGGTGCATGTGTGTGCTGAGCTGGCAGTGTGGAGAGTGTCCTCAGGTGAAGAGAGATGAGGAGCCCTGGAGAAAGTGTGAGCAGTGGTGGTAGGAAGCTCCTGCCATGGCAACAGAGGGCCAGCTGGCTCAGCTGCTCAGTGTGGGTGGCACAATATGCCCATGTGACTGGCAGATCACAGTCTGCAGGGCTTGGCTTGGTGCCCACTGATGTTCTTTGTCATGAAAGTTCTTAGCATCCCCATGCAGCCACCTCTCCAATGAATTTATCCAGTGCCCCAGTTAAGGTGCCACTGCATCTCCTCCAAAGTCAGACACTACCCCCACCTCCTTTCCAAGAAGGAGAGAGGAGCCTGGGGAAGAAGAGTGTGGGCCTGACAGGGAAGATGACACTCAGGCCCACAGGAGGCACGGTGCTGCCTCTGGCCCCTCTGGCCCTCCAGGAGTTTCCTGATCTGCCTGTGGCTGCTCCCTGGGTATGTGGGCAGGTGAGGTCAAAGCTGCTGGACTCAGACCCTGTTTGCCTGGAGGCTCTGTCAGGACCCAGTGGCCCTACAGACACTTCCCCGAGATTTGGCTCCAATGCCTTTCAGCTGGGCTGGCACAGCACCAAGAAAACCTGACCGGAGCTCCTGCAGATCCACAGGCACCTTCGCCTTCTCCCCAAAGGACACTTTCTAATTTACCTGGGAGTCTGTGGAGGCTGAGCTGTGAAACTGGATTCCCTGAGGGATAAAGCTCCACTTCCCTGGGGCATGAAGTTTGAGGGACTCTTTGATTTGGAGATGCGTGACTCCAAGGGGCTCCAGTGCAAGGGCAACGGATTCAAAATACCAGTTTAACAGGTGAAAAATAGACAGATAAGAGGGTAACTAATTATCCCTTTCAGATGCCAAGTAGGCTCATGATTTTTATTATGTTCTAAAATCCAGATACCCACACGCTGTCATTGTTTTACTTTTTAACCTGCATCTCCCATTCTGTAAATGCAGCCAGTGCCTGTCCTTGATGTGCTGCAGACATTTCAAGTTTGAGAACTTGAGTGACACCCTCAGAATAAAAGAATATCTCACCTCTCGTTGAGAACATTTCCACACTGGCTCCCTGGTGCTCCCGCCTACTGTGAACATCATGATGAGTGCTAGAACCGGCTGGTGTGACTTTGCAGGAATGAGACAGTGACCCAAAAAAGAGCAGAGACTTTGCCTGTTTTCCTCTATCCTCAAAGTATGTCAGATATTTTCAAGAGAGAACGTAAGAGTTACAGGATTGAGCAGAGTGACTGAGGAGCATTGTGAGGTGCCTGGCTGTGGGGTGAAGCAGAGATAAGAAGCTACAGATTTACTTGTGGTGATTGTTATTGCCATTGCCTGGGGAAGATTTGAGCAAGCTTATAGAGTGTGGTGATGATGCCAGTTAAAAACCCAGATGAAATCTATGCAAGAACATGGAAGCCCATATACAATTGTGTTTGTTGGGGGCCAGGAGAGCATCACAGGTCCATCACCTTTGTAGCCACATGAGTCCAGAAGCCCAGAAGGAACTGGCATGTTGTTTAATGCTCTGCCTTCACCATCTTGAAATCCTTGATAGTTTTATCTACAACCTTGTGGTCTGTACGTGGAGTATAATGAAACGAGGAAGCATGCTGGTGAACAGAGGAGATATGTGCAATACGCATGTCCCACCACAGTTGCTCCCTGCTGCTTTATGAACACAGGGCATTCTTGATGCCCCATGAGCAGAGAATTCCAGTGCACTCACCATGTATGAGTTAAGGTTACAACGTCCACACACAGACAGCCCCCAGAGGCCACGCTTTTCTTTCCTTCCAGAACATGCTTCAAACACAGAAAGAAGATAATGTCATTATAACAAAAAGGACAACCAAGAGCCCTATCAGAGCTCTACTGACTCGAGTTACTTCCCTGTATTACACGACTACATGTGCTGAAAGTGACGACAAAGAAGGACAGGAAAGACAGAGGAATCTGCAGTCCGTTTTCCTTTCAGGTCTTTCTTTCTCATCAGTAAACCAAAGCTAGAGAGTGTTGGTAGAATGAATGGGTGTCAAGGAGTGAGGTCAAATCAACTGAGTAGTTGGTGCAGTGTTTCCCCTGCTCTGCTAAGAATGAAATACATATGTATGTGTGAGCTATGAGATACATATGTATGGGTGAGCTATGAGATACATATGTATGTGTGAGCTATGAGACACATATGTATGAGTGAGCTATGAAATACATATGTATGTGTGAGCTACAAAATAAATATGTATGTGTGAGCTCTAAAATACAAATGTATGCGTGAGCTCTGAAATGCATAGGTATGAGTGAGCTATGAAATGTATATGTCTGTGTGAGCTATGAAATACATATGTGTGAATACACTATGAAATATGTATGTGTGAGCTATGAAATACAAATATGTGGTGATATAGACTGAATGTTTGTGTCCCACTAAAATTCATACGTTGCAACCAAGATGCACATTGCAACAAAGATGATATTAGGAGGTGGGGGCTTTGATAGGCAATTAGATCACAGAGGCAGAGCCCTTATGAATGGGATTGGCATCTTACTACAGAGGCCCAACAGAGACCTGTCACCACTTCTACCATGTGAGGTTAGATTGAGAAGGCACCGTTTATGAACCAGGAAACAACCCTCACCAGACCCCAATTCTGCCAGCACCTTGGTCTTAGACTTCCAGCCTCCAGAACCATGAGAAATAAATTTCTATTGTTTATAAGCCACTCAGTTTTTGGCATTTTGTTGTAAAAGCCCTGAAAAAAATAAGACACGTAATTTCTGTGATTCTGCATACAAGTTAAATCCTCTTATATTTAACATTGTGGTTGTACAATATAAAGATGAACAAGAAAATTCACATGAATAATTAAAAATTTTATTTAGTTTACTTAGAATATCATTAAATTTTTTAAAATCATAACAAGTTGAGAGACTACAAAAAGAAAAGAAACAGGCTTTATGTTTTATTACTTTCCCTGGCACTTTTTTCTGATTTTTAAACAAGGGAATCAGTTTTCAATTTGCAATGGGCTCCACAAATGATCTGAACGGTCCTGGTCAGAGCATTGATCAGTTGCAGAGGCAGAGGCAGGGGTGGGGTGTCAAGTTTTTTATGTATGATGATGCTTTAAAGAAGGCACTGAAGATTTAAAATAGCTGCTGGCAAAATGAATACAGCACATTTTAAAAAATCATTCACCATAATTAAGTGGAATTCATCCAGGGATGTTAGAATAGTTTGACATATCCAATGCAATAAAAGTGATACATTACATTAACAGAATCACAGACAAACACTATATGATCATTTCAATAGATGTGGAAAAAGCATTAACAAAATTTAACATCCCTTTATGATAGAAACTCAACAAACTGGATATAGAAGGAACATACTTCAAACAATAAAAGCCATATATGACAAACCCACAGCTAACATACTGAATGGGGAAAAATTGAATGCCCTTCTTTTAAGATCTAGAACAAGATAAGAGTGCCCACTTTCACCACTTTTATTTAATGTAGTACTGGAAGTCCTAGCCAGAGCATTAGGCAAGAGAAAGAAAGAAAGGGCATTCAAATTGGAAAGAAAACAGTCAAATTATGCTTGTTCACAGATGGCATAATTTTATATTTAGAAAAACCTAAGGACTACACAAAAAACTATTGGAACTAATAAAATCAGTAAAGTTGCAGGATACAAAATCAGCACACAAAAATCAGTAACATTTATATACACCAATAGCAAACAAACTGAAAAAAAAATAAAGCAATTGCATTAATAATAGCTATGAAAATATATAAAATACCTATAAATAAATTTAACCAAAGAAGTAAAAAATCTCTATAGGAAAAACTGTAAAACATTGATGAAATAAATGTAAGAGGACATTAGAAATGGAAAAATATCCCACGTTCATGGATTGGAAGATTTAATATTGTTAAAATGTCAATACTACTCAAAGTGATATATAGATTCAGTGCAATTCCTATAAAAATACCAATGACATTCTTTATAGAAATAGAGAAAGCAATCCCAATATGTGTATGGAATCACAAAAGACCTTCAACAGCCAAAGCCATCATCACCAAAATAGCATGGCAGTGGTATAAAAGCAGCAAAAAGCTGAGGAGGGGGATCATTTGAGGCAAGGAGTTTGAGACCATAGACTGAATGTTTGTGCCCTCCTAAAATTCATATGTTGCAACCAAGATGCATATTGCAACAAAGATGATATTAGGAGGTGGAGCTCTGATAAGCAATTAGATCAAAGCAAGGCAACAAAGCTGGGCAACATAGCAAGACACTGTCTCTACAAATAATAATAATAAGATAAAATAGCCCAGTGTGGTGGCACTCACCTGTAGTGCTACGTATTCAGGAGGCTAAAGGAGGAGGATCACTTGAGCCCAGGAGTTCAAGGCTACAGTGAGCTGTGATTGAACCACTGTGCCTGGGAGATGGAGCAAAAGCCTATTTGGAAATCAATCCATCAAAAATACATCTACACTCCTATGTTTTTTGCAGCACTATTCACAATAGCCAAAATATAGATTAACTTAAGTGTCCATCAACAGATGGATAAAAAAGATGCAGTAAATATACACAATGGAATATTATTCAGCCATAAAAATAACAAAATCTTGTCATTTGTCGTTACCTTAAGTGAAATAAGAGAGGCACAGAAAGACATATATCGCATGTACTCACTCATATGTGGGAGCTAAAAAAGTCATTCTCATGGAGGTAGAGAGTTGATTGGTGGTTACCAGAGACTGAAAAGGGAAGAGAGGAGCCAAGGGAGGAAGGTGGGGAATGAAAAGAGATTGATTAGTGGGAAGAAAAACAGAGTTAGATAGTATAATAGTATGACTACAGTTAACAGTAACAGTTCAAAATAGATAGAAGAGAAAAATTAGAATGTTTCCAACATAAAGAAAAGATAAAGGTTTGAAGTGATGGAGATCCCAATTACTCTGATTTGATCATTACACACTGAATGTGTATATCAAAATATCACTTGTACCCCATAAATATGTACAACTATTGTGTATCAATAAAAATAAAATAGTTCTGGAAATAACAAAATAGTACAACATTAAAAAGTCACCACGGGAAATTATATACAAAGTTGACCAGGTTGTGGATTCCGCATAAGGTTTAGCGGTACTAGCCTCTGAGATGATGCAATTGTCCCCAGCTGTGCCCAGCACCACGGAAGATTGGATGAGGTGGACAGCTGGATTGATTTGAGGCTCATTTATATTTGCAAGGTGGGTATGACAAGGAAGTGACTCACTGAGGATGCTGCACAAGTGGATCAGTGCCGCAGCTGTGGTGTAGATACAGAGGGATAGATGTAAACAGTGAAGAAAAAAAGGCTGAGTGAAGATAGGGAAAGTACAATGGGGTGGTAAAAGGAAATTTTTCTGGGGTCATAGTGTCCTCTGAGGTCCCAAGGTTTAGAACAAGAGTGTCAAGTGTCAACACATTCTAAAGAAAGGGGTAGACCACGTTTCAAGAATGTTTTAAGGAGTGAGCCTCTCTCCCAACATACACTACTCCAAAGACCTAACAACCACCCCTCATCCCAAGGCTCAAAGTTTGGTCAAGGCAGATGGGAAAGTGAGAACTTCTTTAGAGAGAATTATGCCCTGCTCCTCTCACCTCCTTACACCCAGTGAAGGGTCCTTGGGAAGCCCTGAGTGAACCTCACACTTGGGCACCCTGGGATTGACCACATCTGGGGTGAGGAGTACTCTGGAGCCACCAACTAAGAAACAGCATGCGGGGAGAGGGGAGGGCGCCCTTCGCCCAGAGCAAGGAATGGGCCGCCCAAGGCTTGAGTTGTCTTGACAAACACCACCCAGAGGGCCATCCATAGGGTGAGTGGCTCCCAAAGGACAAAGTCCATGTAGTGTGGATGCTGAAAGGTGGGGTCTGGCAGGGAGCTGGAATCGTGATTATGAAAAGTCAGCTGAGGCTCCCCTCTCCCAAGCATAGGCCAAATGTCCCTCCTGAGAATGTATCAAATGTAGGAATCAATATGCAAAAAGCACATTCATTCAACAAATATCTATGGAATGCCTATGAGGGGCCAAGTGCTCTTCTGAAGGAGAAGAGATAGCAGCCAGCAAAGTCCCTGTCTTATTCTACTGAGGAAGACGTGGCAAATGGAGACAGACTATGGTGTCAGGTGGTGGTCATTGTTATTTTTAAAAAGCAGTCATGGTGGCTCATGCTTTTAATCCCAGCACTTTGGGAGGCCAAGGAAGGTGGATCGCTTGAGCTCAGGAGTTCAAGACCAGCCTGGGCCACATAGCAAAACTCCTTTGCTACAAAAAAAAAAAAAAAAAAAAAAAAAAAAAATTGGCCAGGTTTGATGGCACACACCTGTGGTCCCAGCTACTTGGGAGACTGAGGTGGGAGGATCATCTGAGCCTGGGGAGGTCGAGGCTACAGTGAGTCAAGATCACATAACTGCACTATAGCCTGGGGAATGGAGTGAGACTCTGCCACAAAAAGAAAAAAAAAGGAAGAAAAAGAAGCAGAGTATGAGTGGGCACATGGCATTTGAGGTGGGTCATCAGGAAAGGTGTCTCTGAGGAGTGATGTGTGAACTGAAACCATGAAGAACTGAAGACACACTGTGTGTGATCCAAGGAGACCGCTCCAGCCAGAGCAGAGGCCCTGCTGCAGGAGCCTGCCTGGAGGGGAGGAGCCGTCTGGAGCAGGTGCGAGGGCTTGAGCTCGGGGACAGGGAGAGGATAGTGGATGAGACCGTACAGGAACCAGTTCAGGGAATTAATAGCTAGCATCATTCTTTATGTGCTGTTGATTTTGGTTGCCAGCTAACAATAGTGGTACTTGGGATAGGCATAAACCTATTTCCTACAGGCACCATCAGAGATAGGCAGAAATAGGTAGCTTAAGCATAAACAAACTTTGCAGGTGGGTTTAGAAAGCTCCGCCCTAGAGTTTCTGTTTGGGGTGATAGAAAGTTTGGGAAATGTATAGTGGCGATGGTTGAACACCATTGCAAATGCACTTAATGCCACAGAATGTACACTTAAAAATGGTTAAGACGCCAAATTTTATGTTACATATATATTTTACCACCATAAGAAAAAGAAAGCTTCACATTACTTAGCTTTATGTGGAACTTAGAAAAACGTTTTTCAATAAAGAAGGCCAATAAAAACTAATCATAACACCACGATATTAGTTTGCCGTTACAAATTACCACAGGCTGAGTGGCTTAAATGACAGAAACTAATTGTCTCACAGTCATGGAGGCTAGAACCGAAGAAATCAAGGTGTCAGCAGGGTTGTGAAGAAGGACTGGCTCCACGCCCCTCTTTTTGGCTTGCAGATGACTGTCTTCAGGCTCACCTGGCATTCTCCAACTTTCTCCTTTTTTTTTTTTTTTTTTTTTTCTCTTGAGATGGAGTCTCGCTCTGTCGCCTAGGCTGGAGTGCAATGGCACGATCTCAGCTCACTGCAAGCTCCGCCTCCCGGGTTCATGCCATTCTCCTGCCTCATTCTCCCGAGTAGCTGGGACTGCAGGTGCCTGCCACCACGCCCGGCTAATTTTTCTTTTCTTTTTTTTTTTTTTTGTATTTTCGGTAGAGGTGGGGTTTCACCATGTTAGCCAGATGGTCTCGATCTCCTGACCTTGTGATCCGCCCGCCTTGGCCTCTCAAAGTGCTGGGATTACAGGCGTGAGCCACCGCGCCCGGCCAGCTTTCTCCTTTCTAAGAGAACCCCAGTCCTATTGGATTAGGGCCCACCCCACTGACTTCATTTGAACTTGCTTTCCTCTGCAGAAATCCCTTCTCCAAATAAGGACCCGTTCTGAGGTACTGAGGGTTAGGGGATTAGCATGCAGATTTGAGGGGACACCATTCAGACTCAAATAACCACCACAGCACACAAACGTCCATACCCACACCCCACATCACCACCGAGAAGCTCACGGGGACAGAGCACATGGCGTGGCCCTCACCACTGCTCCTGGCTGGGGATGCAGCTCTGCTACTTCGTAGCTGTGTGGCCCTGGCCAAGTGACTCCACTCCTTTGACCTGCATTTCCACACTTTGAGGCGGGGTCAGCTCCACCTCAGAGGCTGGTCTGAGGCTGAAGCGAGCTAAGGCCTATCGGGTGCCAAGCACGGTCCTGGCCAGTCAGCAGCCCCCTGGGCTCCCTCCAGCAGCCTCCTGCCTCTCTCACCAGGCCCTTCTCTGCCACCCTGTGCTGCACGCGCTATACAGCCATGAGCCTGTCTTTTTGCAGTTCTGTCTCCTACATGTACATCACACAGATTACTGGAAGGCTGGTGATATGGTTCGGCTGTGTCCCCACCCAAATCTCATGTTGAATTGCAGCTCCCATAATTCTCACGTGTTGTGGGAGGCACCTGGTGGGAGATAATTGAATCGTGGGGGTGGTTTCCCCCATACTGTTCTCATGGTAGTGAATGAGTCTCACAAGATCTGATGGTTTCATAAGGGTTTCTCCTTTTGCCTGGCTCTCATTCTCTCTTGCCTGCTGCCATGTAAGACATGCCTTTTGCCTTCTGCCGTGATGGTGAGGCCTCCCCAGCCCCGTGGAACTGTGAGCCCATGAAACTTACTTTTCTTTATAAATTACCCAGTCTCAAGTATGTCTTTATCAGCAATGTAAAAATGGACTAATACAGCTGGGGTTCACTTACCATTTGACTCAGCCAGCTTCAGGGTTTAGGGGCAGCAGTTTTATTGATGGGTGTGGAGAAGGCCGTGACAGAGCAGTAGAGAGGTTTCGATTTGAGTCGTCCCTCCACTTCTAGTTAACAACAGACACTCAGCCTTTTTTTTCCTGAGGGAAGTGGAGTGGACATTCTCAAATCATCTGCCATCATTGGCATGCTCGGATGCTAAATATTTAGAAAGCTTGGACTCATTCTTGTCCTCAGGTACAGCCAAAGTGGGGTGAGGGTCAAGTAGGAAGGGAGATTTGTTTCTGATTTAGTGCTCAACGCACAATTCTAAATCAGAACAGACAGCCTCATATATTTACCTATTTTAATTATGTATTTCTTCACTCTGCAAACCACACTACTTTCTCCATATGGATAATGCAGTGTGCATGAAAACCAGTTTCTTTTTTCAAAATGGATATGTCAGTTTCTAGTACTCTTGGGAGCCCTGGCAACATCCATTGGATTTTCTCCTCCAGCTTCAATCCCACTCCCTCCCTGGCCCCACTGTAATCCAGATCTTTCAGCACTGGTCCTAAGTGGATTGCTCTAGAAGCCACAGCTTTTTATGGACATGTAACCCGCTCCTTTCTAATTCCATGCAATCCACTTAAGCTATTTTGGCTTCCCCAGTACTCTCTGCCAGCCCAAATTCTACACTTGTTTTACCCAGCTCACTGCTCACATCTTCCACAAAGTCCTCTCTAGCGCTGCCCCACTCTTTGTTTGCTCTGTTGCCCCTTCCACAAACATCTCTATTTTCCTTGGAATCCCCGTCACACGCAAGCATCTAGAATGGAGCTGAGGACATAACCACACAATCTTAGAGGTGAGAATGCCTTATGGTCTGAGACTAAACTTTGGCCTGGGATACAAATCAGTTTACAACATCCCAGGTTTATTTGTTTATTTACTTATTTATTTATATTCTACCTGAATGTCTCTAGTAAATCATTTATTCATTAATTGAATAATTACTATGGCCCAATGTTTGGGACTATAAAGGATGTTAAGACAAAGCTACTGTCCATCCACACAAAAATTACCATCAGGTGATGGAGACATACAAGTCAACAGAAAACCACAGTGCAGCAGCAGATACATGTTAGAGAATCTCGTCATCTCCACTCTCAATGTCAACTTTCATGACAAGAAGGAAGCATTTAGCAATGACCCTACTTTTTTCAAGATGTAAACACACATAAATGCTCATGTTCCTCCAGGGGAAATATTCAGTACAATTATGCATAAATCAACAGAAAGAACATTGTTTCTGCCTCTAAGGAAGAAAATAACTTAAAAAGTAATATGAAAACCAATCACATAATGTAAGAAAGGCACTGTTATCTAATAATATTGCAGACAACATGGCTCAATACTATTTTTAAGTTCTTAAAAGGGGATTAGAACCAAAATTGAACACTTGAGCACTTCCTGGTAATTAAATTTTTTCAGGTAGGCCATGGTACTCATTAGTACACTGTGAGGCAGCCCATTCAGTCACTGGACAGCTGTAATTGTGAGAACATTCTTCTTCCCTGGAATGAATTGAAATCAATTCTCTATCATTTCCCCCCACTGAAAGCAGTCCTGCCCTCTAGAGCTCTCTCAACGATTTCCCTCCCTCTCCCCTATGGTGGTCCTGGAAGTGTTTCAGGGCAGCTCTCATCTCCCCACTTAGTCTTCTCTTGTTCAGACTCAAGGCCCCAGCTATTACCTTTCCCATGTGCCATACTCTTTCATCCCAGGAACTTACTTCTGCATATACTTGACCTTGGAATATCCCATGCAACCCTGTCCCGTGCCTCGTCCATCTATCAATGCGAGCGAATGCAGCATTGCTGTGTGCTACCCCATCACACTCACAGTTCATATCAGGGTTGGGGCTGGCAAGATCTTTCAAACTCTGTCACACATCTTACTATTTAGCTATGTCTCTCCTGTGTTTTTGCAGTTGGATTTATTTTAACATAAGCACATGCTTTTACATTCATTCTATTAAATTCATCTTGTTAGGGTCAGCACATTTTCCACATTTTTGAGCTGTTTGGACATCCTAACTCTTATGCTGAAATTGCAGTATCTCTGTAGTTTTGATAAACACATCTTCTAAGTCTTCTTCTAAGTCTTCATCCAAGTGATTGGACACTTTAAATCAGTTATGAAGTCACATGGGAAATCCCTGTCAATGCCTCTAAAGTCCAGGAAAACAATGTTTAAAGACATCACCTCCTCCTCTGCTGGCTTCAGAGTTCTCATCTGCGGCTCAGCTTCACTCCCTTCACTTTCTCCCCATTGCCTCCCCTACCCCACATCCCCTGTCCCAACACACTCAGCTACGAGAGTGTTCATCTGCTCTCCGTAGACTTCAGCTGCACTCATGTGCACTGGAATGAAGGAAGCTGTGAAGCTGGAAGTATCCTGGTTCAAATTCCTACCAGCTGTGCAGCATGTTAGCTGGGTGAGCTGTGTGCGCACCTAACTCTCTGAGTCTGTTTCCTCCCATGTAAAATGAGGATAAAGCCTGGAGGATCATCATGAGGGCTAGAGAATGTTTGTCTAAAGAATGCAATGCAGAGGTTGCCATTAAATTTCAATGGTCATGGTGGTGGTAGTAGGAGGAGTAGTAGTTGCTGTTATTTTATTAAACAGTAATATTCCAAAACATCAGCCCATGTTGGTTGTTTGGTTCTGAGCTTTCTACACACTCTTTACCCCCGTGGTTTGTCCAGCTCTTTTGCTGTCCAGTACTAGGTCTAGAAAACAAGCCAGAACTACTATTTTACTTGATATTGTCCCAAACCTGTTAGTTGTTTCATGAGTGCAATTCCTCTAGAAGAGCGTAATTAATTAAAGGAAGAAAGTTCTGTACTTGTTTTCCAAGCAGCTGCTGCAGTGTTGGGCACGTATATAGTGCTCAATAAGTGTTTCTTAAAAATGAAAAATTCAGGTTAAAGTAGAAGAATAGTTTAGAACCCCAAAGTTATCCGCATACTCAAAGGCATCCCCATGTCACAAATATGACACTTAAAATTATGCATCCTATAATGACCACGGGCCTTTACCTTTGTGGAAGGAAATCCTGTTTCTTCCAGGTGATGCTGAGACACCAGAGTAAATATACAGTCTTCCACTTTTTGCTCTTAGACTTATCATACTTTGTAATAACCATCTGTTTACACATCTGTCTCTTGCACTAGGTCGTGTTGTTCACCCAGGCAGGTCAAACGTTTGTAGGTTTTTTGTGTTTGTGTTTTTTTGTCAGGATTTTTTTTTTTCTGGTCTCTAACACCCATCACAGTACGTGGCATAAAGTAGGTCCATACATACACAAACAAAATTTGTTTAAAAACATAAAGGAATAATGATGAACAGGGGAAAAGTAATTTTTAACAAATAAATCTATTTTTGGCATATTGGTGGAATAAACATCTCTACAATTCAATGGTAATAGCAATGCCAATAATGGTGTTCGCACACAGAATATCTGTTGCACTTCACAGCTGCTCTCACATGCATCCACTCCTTGACCCGGATCATATCCAGGTGAGCAGACATTATTATTCCAATGCACAGCTGAGGCACAGGGGCTCAGTGTGAATAACCAGCTCTTCATGGCCTTGTGGCTATTAAGTGGCAGAGCCTAGACTTGAATTTGCATCTTTACATACCAAAAACATAAACAAAATAGAATAGGCAATACCAGAGCCTCCTCAATTTCCAATTTGAATTTTTTTTAAGAGTATGTTTTCTCTATCGTTTAGTCTGACAGCTTCAGCTTCTGTGATGCTTGCTTCTGAGGTCTTCTATCCTGAGCATTTTGAATCAGTCATAGAAGGAGGGACGTTCTGAACAGAAAAGGGAACTTTGACCAAAACTTAAGGAATCAATAAAAAATGTAGGGTCCCAACTTGGATAAGGGTTTTGAAAATTATTATTCCCTATATTCAAATAAAATGAACACATACATGTTCCAGTTTCCAGGATGGAAAAGATGTGGAATTTCTGAGAAAAGTTGATCTGCTGAGATACATGAAAGAGTGAAATTGGCAAATGGATTTGGGGCCTGTCTTCCATTTGATATTTTCCCCTGAGAAGGGAAACGGAGCAGGTGCCTGAGGGGAAAAAGCACTGGAGAAGAGGGAAAATTCTCAGCACAGAAACGGGAACCCAACAGAAAAAGACAGAGGACTTAAAAGAGAGGAGATTCAAGAGAGAACAAAAGGAAAATGGCCATCTGGCCTCATGAGAAGCTTTTTCAGGTCCTGAGCTCAGATTCTTTACACAGACGTAGGTAAGAGAGGTCTCCTGGGAGCATTTTCCCCAGGTTTATCTTTCTTTGATAAAATGAATTGTGAATAAGGGGAGAAAGAGAATTCAACCAAGGATTTTTGGAGGTAGAAAAACAAGGATATCTTACTATTTTGTTTGTTTTCTGGCTAGGGAAAAAATAACATTCTCACAAGTTAAAATGTAGGCAAATCTCTCTCCTGATACCAATGCAAGCAAAAAAATAAATAAATAACAGAAAAGCTTCAAGACTTAAAATCCAGAAAAACTGAAGAATGTATAAATCAAATGTGAGATTTTTCAGCCATATCTCCTTAATTTTAGGAGACTCTGTAGCATAATATCTACACTTTGCAAGAATCAAACACATGAAATTGGCTATTAATGGGTACCTTGGGGACTTCTTTGGATTTTAAATTCTCCTTTCAACTTCCAACCAGATATAAAATATCTTGTCACTGACTCCTTTTTTTCTAAATTGTATTCATCCCTACAATTTGATGTTTTTTTTTTTCTTCAACAAATTCTGTCTAACAGTTTATCTTTCTCCGGCCCACAAAACATTGTAACTTTAAGTTTATCCATAATGAGGGCTTTTAATCAGTGCCTAGGAAAATACTGCCACCAGATCAGCCGTGGGAGAACTCATCATGTTATCTAGACAGGCCCCTCAGTGATAGCTCACAAAATACCAACATTCAAAAGGGTCTCAAAATTTCAAAATGAAAGTTGAAAAGAAAATTGAGCTCTTGAGCCCTTCAGCACTTCCAGGTAATTACAGACCCTCAAGTAGCCTTTAGACATCTTAAATAGAGATTTAACTCTAAGCTGAGATAACGCAATTTTACTGGTGGCTAAGATTACCTGCTGTACACAAAGCCCTATGGTAAGTACCGGGGAAGTTGAGGTTCTGCCTTCACAGTGACTTGAGCACTGTTTTCTACTATCTGGATTTGAGAGTAAGTTCAAATACAATTCACAAATACCTACTGAGGGTTTACCATATGCAGTGTGTGAAGCAAGGATCTTTAGTAGATAAGAAAAAGAGCAAAGAGTATCTCTCATCTTGAGTGCATGGATGCATCTGTGAGCAGATGTAAGCCAGAGAATCACATGATAATTGAAGTGGAGTGGGGAAATTTAGCAGGATGTCTAATTGCTATAACCTTTTCAAAAAACAAACTCTACAAAAGACAAATACTGTATAATTTCACTTATCACAGTATTATATTTTATATGAGGTATCTAAAATAGTCAAACTCATAGAAGCAGAGAATAGAATTGTGGCGTCAAAGGCTGGGACTAGGGGGAAACGGACTTTTTGCTCAATGCATACAAGGTTTATGTTATGCAAAATGAATAATTTCTAGAGATCTATTGTACAGAAAAACACTGTAATTAACAATATAGTATTGTGAGCTTTAAAAGGATAAATCTTAACTGTTCTTATCACACACAAAAATGTAAAAAAAGCCACACACACAAAAGAGCACAAGGAAATTTTTGGAGGTGATGGGTATGTTTAGTGTCTTGATTGTGGTAATGGTATCATAGGAATGTGCTTATGTCCAAACTCGTCAGGATATATACATTAAAGGGATGTAACTTTTTAATATCAATTTTACCTCAATAAAACTAATAAATACACTCTACATATTTTAGGAGGATAAAAGGATGCCACTAGACATTTTAGAATTCCTTTCAGAAAAAAAAAATGTTCACTTGAGTTTTTTGCACATGAAAAATTGGTTCCGGAAAATAATAGGGAAAGAGGGGAAGCACAGAGACAGAAGAAAAAGAGAGAGAGAAACTCCTGATCTTCCCTTTGCATTTTGCAAATACAGTTGTTATTGCATGATGTGGAGAGAGGCAATCAAAATTAAGGAAATTCTGTATCTTGATATTTTTCTGCAAGACTGGCATATTTTATACTTCTCATACCCATAGCTCTAGTAACAGATTCTGAATTCACGTGTTCTCATCACAAGAAGATATTTAGCCCCATTAACAAGTAGTTTAATCAAAGAGGGGAAAACCCTAGAAGCTAGAAATTCTCCTGTCAGGCACAATACTGATAAACAAAAGTCACATTTCAAAGTTAGAAGCTCAGATGAAAAAGGCTCAGAGAACAATTCACAATGTGGCCTGAAAACTTGCTGACCTGCAGGTACGGGTTGAGCGTCCCTAATCAAAAAATCTGAAATCTGAAACGCTCCAAAATCCCAAACTTTTTGAGCACCAACATGACACTCAAAGGTCATGCTCAAAAGAGCATTTTGGATTTCATATTTTCAGATTAGGAATGCTCAACTGGCAAGAATAAGGCAGATATTCCAAGATTAAAAAATAAATCAAAACCTGAAATACTTCTCGTCCCCAGCATTTCAGACAAGGGATACTAAACCTGTAAAAGAAATTTACTTCTTTGTTACTTGTCACAGATATAAATAAACACGTAAGGTTTAATCCAGAAGCAGAAGCAATTTACATCTGACTAAGCTGTGTCTGTGGCCACTGCTGCCCTTTGGGCTGCCCGGAATCTCTCGTTGGAAATATCCAAGTAGCTTGCCCTAACCCCCAGTCTCCATGGAGACCCTGGAAAGGCCCCCAGGACCGTCCTATTCAATAAAGCCACCACCCCATCCCCATCCTCCCACCTCATCCTCCTGCCTAGCACTCACCACCATTTGGCACACTGCGTTTTTTATTTATTGATGATCTCTCTCCCCCAGTCAAAGCTCCAAGAAGGCAGGGATTTTGTTTTCTGTTTTGTTTTGGGCTCTCCAGTGCCTTGAATATTAGGACTTAATAAATCTCTGTCAACTAAAGAATCACTCTTCATTTCTAAAGAAGGTGATCAATTTCAAATACTCATCTTTTTCATTTTATTTTTTATTTCTTACAGACAGAGTCTCACTCTATTGCCCACGATGGAGTATGATCATGATCTATTGCCCACGATGGAGCATGATCATAGCTCACTGCAGCCTCAAACTCCCAGACTCAAGCAATCCTCCTGCCTCACAAATACTCTTTATAAAGGTTAAATTTCAATTCTACTTGAAGGTATAACCAGTTCTTCCATTACTAGTTCTTTTATCACCTAAACCATCCCAACATGTCCTCCACGGTGGGAGGAAGCAATGTTGTCAGAATGGAAAAACCCTCTGTTTTTCCCCTGGACTCCAAGGACTCTTCCAGTTTCTCATTTCTACATTTGGCAAAAATAAGTAGGAGGCCTGCACGCTCATTCATGGCACAAAGTTACCCAGTGGAGGGGCAGTGGGGATGAAACCCAAGAAGAGGAAATCAGACATGTACAGAGGAAGGACCACGTGAAGCCACCTGCAGGCAAACAGAGAGGCCGTGGAGGAAACCAGCCCTGCTGACACTTGGATCTTGGACTTACAGCCTCCAGGACTGTGAGAAAATTAATTTCTGTTGTTTAAGCCACTAGGCTGTGGAACTTGTCATGACAGCCTTGGCAGATTAATATGCAGAGGAGCCACTGTTATCTCCCCATTTACAAATGGTGAGCCTGAGATGTAGAGAGATTAAGATCAAACAGCAAGAAGTCTGCAGACGCGGGACCTGACCCTAGGATCAGGTCAAAATCCACATTCCTTCCTGTAACTGGCTGCTGCTCCTTTGTTCTTTCATTGGCCAAAATGCACAGAGGGGAGGGCCCAGGGAATGGCAAGCACCCTCCCTAGACACCTAAGCACGCATGCACAGTCCCTGGCACCCCAGAGGCACACCGCTTGGGGGAAGAAAAACACACAAAAATAGCTCCAGTCTTGGGTGGAGCTTCAGTACTTTTGTGGTGAGAGGTCTTGCCAGAAACAAGGACCAACACAGCATTGCCTGGAGGGAGGCATTGATGGGGACTGGGGAGGATCCACCAGCTGGGGTCCAGTGTCCCAGTTGGCGAGAAGCAGACCCAGAAGTGACATTCAACCAAGGCCCTGTCAAACTGGAGGAGGCAGGATGGATATACCTCGATGAAGTTGAGTTATCCTGAGACAGAATATTTCCATTGGTTTTCAGATTTAAATAAGCATTAGCTGTGTAATGTCATGTTTCACACACTTGTCAGTATAGAACCTTTGTGTTAGTCTGTTTTCATGCTGCTGATAAAGACATATCCGAGACTGGGCAATTTACAAAAGAAAGAGGTTTAATTGGACTTACGGTTCCACATGGCTGGGGAGGCCTCACAACAATGGTGGAAGGCAAGGAGGAGCAAGTCACATCTTAGGTGGATGGAGTCAGGCAAAAAAGAGAGATCTTCTGCAGAGAAACTCCCACTTTTAAAACCATCAGATCTCATGAGACCCATTCACTATCACAAGAACAGCACGGGAAAGACCTGCCCCCATGATTCAATCGTCTCCCACTGGGTCCCTCCTACAACACGTGGGAATTATGGGAGGTACAAGATGAGATTTGGGTGGGGACAGTCAAACCATATCAACCTTACGTAGGTGTGCAAAGTCCATGCAAGTACCATGGTATAATCTATATTTTAATAAATATGATAAATATCAGCCCATGTATGGAAACATTCTTCAGTATATATAAAAACTCTTGTTCAGTTTTATGCTAGATAATTCTTTTTCTGAGCAACTGGACCAGCCTCTGAACCAATCGTCATCATCCTACCCAGAAAGCATTTTTGCTCCAAGGGATCTTCTAGGGGACATACGTTGGATCAGGACACGCCTCTGCTTAAGCCCTTGTATTAGTCAGTTCTCATGCTGCTAATAAAGACATACCCCAGACTGGGTAATTTATAAAGAAAAAGAGGTTTAAAGGATTCATGGTTCCACATGGCTGGGAGGCCTCACAATCATGGCTGAAGGGGAAACAAACACAACTTTCTTCACATGGTGGCGGGAAGGAGAAGTGCTGAGCAAAGGGGAGGAAAGCCCCTTATAAAACCATCAGATCTCGTGAGAACTGACTTACTATCACGAGAATAGCAGCATGGGGGTAACAGCCCCCATGATTCAATTACCTTCCACAGAGTCCCTCCCATGACACATGGGGATTATGGGAACTACAATTCCAGATGAGATTTGGTGGGGACACAGCAAACCATATCAGCCCCCCATCAGCAGAGAATACAATCCATGCAGCTGTCATCCTGAACCATGTGGTGTTGAACCTGGGGAAGCACCCCAAAGCCCCCACCATCCCAGGCACCTGCCCCCTCTTCTGCTCTTACTTGCACCACCTGCCCTAGCTGCCCCTTCTCACTGGGTCCTTCACAAGTCAGGATGCTCACCCCACTAGGACTTTGCTGGAATGTTCTATCCCAGCTCTCACTATGATCTAATCCAAATGTCACCTCCTTGGACAGGTGTCCTGACCAGAGGTGTTGCCACGGGTGCAAAGTCAACACAGCTGCATGAGGCCCACACTCAGAAGGGCCCTGAGCTTGATTTGATGCTCTCCTGGAGCCATCTTGAAATGTGTAAGTCTGAACACCACCATTCATAGTGACCCTTTTGTTCTTTAGTCCACAGCCCTTTTCCCTCTCTGAGCTGTGAGCTCCCCAGCTCCACAGCTGAGCTGAGAGTGAGCACCTGGCCAGTCTGTCTTGCCACTGTGTCCCCACACTTAGAACAGAGACACAGGGCAAGTGCTCAACAGGCATGGTCTGGCTCCATGACGAAGGAGAGGGGTGCAGTCAGGAGTCAGAAACAGGCAGAAAGGAGCTGATGCTGGCTGGGCCCCGTGCATGGCTTCCGGCTGACTTCTTACACACTGGTAGTCCCTCTGAAGTGAGATACCAACTCTTTCTCTTACAGAGAGAGAAATGTGAACTTGCCATCCCACAGTACATTCATCCCAAGTGAAGAAGGCCAAGTGAGAAACACAAGTGAAGAAACAAAAGCATACCCTGAGTTCTAACATGCCACGCCAGGAGTGTCATCCCTGTACCGCAAACCTCCCTCCCTCCTTTTTAGCAGTGTCCCAGTTGTTGCTGCCATTGAGGGAACCCTCTTTAAACATCCCTATTTAAGCCCGACTGTGCGGGGTTCTTGAGGATAGGTGGGGACAAGGGTGAGCTCCACTGGAGAATCCTGAGAAGGTCTTTTCCAGCTGCTCTGGAAGAGCTTCTGCGAGCCACTGTCTGCTCCTCCTCTCAACATTGTCTGCCCAAACGTGGGTCTCAAACCTACATCTTAGTTCGCCAGCAGCCACCAGTGGAAAGATGGGCCCGAGCGCCGCATGCTGTTGGAGATGGAGCTGTCAGTTGAGTAAATCCCAAAGCCCACCAAGTGAGGGTGGCCAGTTTCCTTGCTGTTGAAGCCCCTTTGGTTGGGCTCTCTGCCACTCAGAGGCAGCAGCTTCGTAAGATGTAATGATCATTTATCTACCCACGAGAGTGCATCAGAGAGATAGAACTTAATTTGCATTTGTCATATATTTTCTTGTATATTCAATAATGTATAATATTTTTAAATAAGCTTTATTTTTCCAAATCTTTTTCTATATTCGTGTCTGAAAGCAGACAACTTTAACGTTTCATCGTTATGTTTGCGATTATGACTGTCGAAACAAACTCATATCACAGGGTCTTTTGTAAGACAGACAACACGGTCAGGAGCGCAGTCCTGCATGCCGCACTGGCCTCCTCTCCTACTCACTTACAACCAGGACAACCTCCAGGACCTGTCTACACCTCTGCTGCTCCAGCTGTCACATGGGACTAATAATGTGGACGCCACAGTGTTCTGTGAGATTAGGTAAACTGATGCTCACACAGAGTTTCTCCAGTGCCTGGTGGGTAGTGAAAGAGCCACATGTATCATTATCACCATTGCTGCTGCCGTTGATATGAACCAAAGAGGAAGAAAAAGTGAAGAGTTGGCCCCTTCCCATGAGCGATCATCTAGATAGGGAGATAGATCATTGTTTTCATAAGATAAAAGATGCAAAAACACATGAATTGCAAACTTCGAGGGATTAAAGTGGAAGCCTCCACAAAGGGCCACGATGAGGACCTCGTGGTGAGATGGACAGAGACGCTCCTGGGAGAGGACGAACTGGGTTTACGAAGACTCTAGAAGAACCTAGAGCCTATGAAGGGTTCAGCCTTTAAATTATCCAGAGGGCAGCTTTTCACATTTTCTGAACAAAGCAGGGACAAAAACAAACAAAGTGTTTCAAGAAAATTTAGTTTAATTTTGACGCAGGTGAGGGCACAGAATCCAGAAGGCAAAGAGACCATTAAAGAGACGTCTTCAATGTCCAGGCTGGAAGGACAAGCTCGGTGGACTGGGGCTTGAATACAGCAATGATGATGATGGTAAAACTACCTCTAATTTCTCTCCCCCCTACTTATCCTCAACTAAAAACTAGCATTTTTCACTCCCAAGACTAGATAAAACACAAAAATTGAGAAAATGTTTAATAATGTAATTCTTTTTTAAAAAAAATAAAGTCGGTCAAAGCTCTTCCAACCACAAGAGGGCGTTCCTGGACCCAGCAGTGGAGCCGGGATTGCCCCGGGCATGGACGGAACTTGCACCAGGGCTGCCCACAGGTCACTTGTGCAAGTGGTTACCTGGGTAGTTACAGAAAGGAAACAGTGTCTGGCATTCACCTGCGCTTTGTGACATCATAGAATCTTAAAATCAAGGAGAGCAGCCTTGAGCTCTTATCAAACCTAAGAACATGTAGACTTATGAGAAGCAATTCAGGATTGGGACTTTTTTTGAGTGACTGCCAGGTGTAGGCAAAGCCAGAAAGCCCTGGCAACCCAAAACTGAAGGATCTGGGGCTTTCTTCCTGCAAGCTCTGCTCAGCGAGGGGCTTGTGCTCCTACAAGCTCTTTGCTACATAAGTCAAGCCAAACTTCCATTTCCCGACATGACATGGCCAAATAAGAGAAGGCCAGGTTACCAGAGATTAAAAATAGGACGTTGCTGCAGAGTCCTGGGACCGGCTGGCAAATGACACAGGAACTTTGGGAGCGCATGGACTCAGGCCAAGCGGCCGTCCTCACCCTCGGCCACCTCAGGGCAGGGACGAAGAGTAAGGTTCGCAGGAGTCCTGCCAGGAAAGGGCTGGGAGTCAGGGAAGGGTGGAGAAATCGCTTTCCTATGAGTCAAGGGACAACAGCTGTCACTGCAAAGGGGAGAAGAGCTGGAAAACTGGATCCAACCTTTCATAGAGCAGTGGCAGCTGAGTCGCAACAAACAAGCAGAAACACGAGGCCCTTAAAAAATACAGTAATTCAGGCGACATCAAAGCGGTGATTAGCACAGCTTCCTGGCGGTCTCTTTCTGTTTATTTATGGCACATTACACATTTTCATGCTATTTTCATAAGGTGTTTCTGCTGCCACAGTTCCATATTTGGGTGACAGAGTGTCTGAGACGTACCACAACTATTGGGCAACTCACCCCCAGCCACACTCGAAGTCAATGGCAACCACAAAAACAACAACCTCCCAAAAAAAGAGAAGCAAAAGAGAAAGTGTTCCAAGTGCTTCTTCCAGCAGCACGGGGACGCCCCTCCTCTGGAAGGAGAAGCAAGTGCATGGCCCTGTTGAGAGGGAGGGTGAGGTGGGGTGCAGGGGCAAACTTCGTCTTGATTCATGTTTGTAGACGGGGGAGATCAATGCCGGATTCTCACTGACATCCTGCTTTTCTTGTACCACACAGCCCAGCCTTTGATGGTGGGGATTAGTCCCAAAATTCTGGAGTTCACCACTCCTCCCGCTACACTGGCTTTATTTCAAATCTCTGTTGGTCCATGTCAACATCAGCGATGGGAGTTGAAAGAAGTAAAACAGTGACTCGTGCATTTTTCATTCTTCTCTTTGCTTCTTTCTTTTATAAAAGGTCAGGAGGATGATGAAAAGGAGACCTTTAGGAAGCAACTGCGACGTTCCATCTCATATCCACTAAAGGAGGTGCATTTCCGATTCAGACAAATTTAGTAACCATTTCCTCCAAGTCTGACTGCTCTTTACAATTAGGCTCCTGGAAAAATACATGTTGGTGTGTTTACAACATGGGAAAAATATGTCATCTCAGCATTCAGTGATAAAGCAGGTATAGGTCCCAACAGAAGCGAGGGTCAGGACAGGCAACGGGAAACATGTGCTCGCTGCTGGGTCCCAGGACTGAGTGACTCAGGAAAGCTGCTCAGACTTATCAGCTCTGATCCCTGGGACTTCAGGCTTCAAGAGATGTGGTTTGACGGGTGAGCTGAATATTCAACATGTCATCACAAGCACCAAATTCAGTGTCACCACTACTATTGGAAGCATTGACTCCCCAGCTCCTCACCATTACATTTTACTTTTCTAAAACATTGGCAACTGACAAGCTTTGGAAACCATCATTGTGTGTTTTTCTCCACCCCACCATTTATAGCCAGTGTCCCCACTTTTAGGTCTGAGACCACTGCCCAGTGGGCCTTTCCCCAAGGTGGGGGATCTAAGGACCCTTGGATTAATCCCAGGCTTTGTCTCCCACAAAAGCTTCCAAGACCAGTGCCAACATTCTTGGTGGACACCTGTTCTCTAAGAGCTGGGCTTGAGCCCAAAATGCATCCACACAGGCCACTTAAAAGCCATCCCAAGTTAACTTGGGTCAGAATTTAATCAGCCGTCTACAAATAAAGTCCATCCCATGACTCCACTCTGCAGGCATTCAGTTCTCTACAGCCTCTTATTTCCAGCCATTGCATCAGCCACAAACACACGGTGAGTTGGTGCTTGGCGAATCAGGTCCCAGCAAGACCACACCACCTTTTTCTAAATCTCCAAAGCCAAATTAGTTTGACTTTGGCGAGATCTTGAAGCACAAACATGTTGAAGCAAGAGTTCACGGAAGTGTACGTTTTTGGGTGCTGTCTTCATTCTAATAATAATAGCTAACATTTATTGAATGTCAGGTAATGGCAGTTCCAGGTAATATCTCAGTTAACCCTCCCAGGAGATCTCAGGCAGGTACATTTTTCAGATGAAGACACTGAGGAGCACATGTTTAATAACTTGCTGAGAACCACATGAGAAGTCAACAGCAGGGCCAGCCCCTGAGCGCAGGTAGACTAGATCAACAGCTCACGCTCTTAGCCACCCCACTGTGCTCCTTCCCAGGTGCGAGTCCACTTAACCTAACAAACAACCCGTAAGTGCTGTTTTAGAAATATCAGAAAATCCCTATTTCTTTGATTACAGAAATAGAATTTAAGCAAAAATGTAAAATGAAGGAATTCGTAATTCTCAGCAAAAGTCAGGTCAGTCAAATGCCCCGATATGCCTTCTTCAATTTTGAGACTGTGGTTGCTGTTTCGGTTTATTTCATCGGTGGTGGTGGTGTTTCTCAGGGTCGTTTGAGAATTGTAGGGATGAAAATTTGCAAAACAATTTCTGGGACATGAAAGACAAGAGCTGGGGGTGGGGGTGCTCCGGTGCGGCTCCAGCCCCGGTGCAGGAGTTGTCTGCCCCTTTACCTTGGGCTGCCAGGCAGGCCAGCAAAGCCAAGAAACCCCAAATGCAGTCTTCAAGGCAGAAGCCTGGGGTCAGGGCACTGGCAGGAAATTGAACCTGAAGGCAGAGAAGAGCAAAACCCCTTCTCCAGGGCTTGCAGGCCTCCCTGGTGCACGGTGCCTTTGGGATAAGACACTGGTACCTGTCAGGATGCTCCCAGGGCCCCTGGAACTTAAGAGAGACTCCAGACCTCAGCCACACCAGGGCTTAGGAAGCAAAATTCAGGATGGGGTCCACGCACCACTAGAGGGAGCCAGGGGCACGGGTGTCCACATGTCTTAGGGCCCCCAGATCCGAGGAAGGACTGAGGAGCCCCCACAACAGCTGTAGTCGCACGTTTGCACGTTCACACACAGCACAGCCACCCCTGCAGCATCCTCAGACACAGCGGAGAGGGACATGTCCGGAGGCACCGACTCCTCCTGGACCCCGCAGCCCCGATGCAGGGCAGCCACACAGAGCCACACGTGGCCGAGCACCCAGGGAGGGGCCCCACGGGCCGCCAGAACCACCAGGGCCGTTCTCAAAGAAGTGGAGGTAGGTATTTAGGTGAGAGACCCACGTGGTGGCAGCAGGGTAGTTGGTGACGTTGGCTTAATAATTTTGCCACACCTGGGCCGGCCACTGGAGAATCACAAAGCTCCAGTGCTGGGCTTCTCCAAGAAGCAGGCGGCTCTCAATGGAGGGAATCTTTTAATTATACTCATCGAAATTAGCAGTGCCTCTGGCCGGGGCAGCATGATGAGTGCAGTTTGGAGTCCTAGCTCGCAGAATGTTAGCACAAGAAGGACCCCAGGGGTCACAGAGTTCAGCTCCTCAGCCCCTGCACCACTCACGCTTCCCATAAGGGAAAAGTGCCGACTCCACTTCTGAAGGCTTCATGATCCAGGATAGCCATCTATGTAGTCAAAGAAAAACTAAACCTCAACTCAAAACCAAATCGACAGCATCGACTCACCACGGCCCCAAACGAGTTCTACTTCTGCCTGCCGATGACAGACCGCCTCCCCGCCAAACCCCGCCCGGCAACCATGAGAAAGACTCCAACGCTTTGCATCCCTGACAGACAGCATCAACTTCCACAGCAGCCAGGTTCTTCCCCACCTGATCCAGAGGAACAGCGAGAACTAGAGCCCCTGATAAGAACTCGGAGGAAAAATATCCCTGCTCCTTCTCGGTATCTTCATAAAGAACTGCATATGCTATTCTGGACGTAAAAATCTATTACCAGACATGTTCTAAATACGGATCCGTGTGAATGTATAGATTAGACTAAGCACACAACAGAAAAACAAGCTGGTTGTTCATCCCCTCCCCTCCCGCTGCAGGAATCTGGCTTGAGATAAAGGTTTGATCTTTTAGCAGTAACATTCTCTGAGTCCAACTGAGTGCGGCAAAGGGAAATAAACACGTCGGCTTCTGAACCAGGTTTTGCCGTGGGTTGACACAGCCCCTGACAAAGGATTAACCTCTTGTTGCCTCAGGCCCCCTGCTCTACAAAAGATGACCCATATTTTCAACCCAAACAATTTCAATACATAATTCCTAATGGCCACAGAGCATGGTATAAAGATATGAATGTTTAATTGAGGTGGCACCTTCACCACCCGTGCTGTTTTGGTGCTAAGGGTGACTCCAGCCGTCACAGTTACATGGAAATTAAATGTCCTTTAAAAAGGAAAAAAAGAATGAGGTGCGCATGGAAGAAACCCAGTTTCACAGACCACACCTGTCATGCCTTGGCAAGTCTGAGGAGGCAAATGTTCTCAGTTGTCCTTCAGGAAGAGTCTTGGTTTCTGGTTAATATACTTGTCTCTCGCCCAATAGCGGAATTACCATCCTAGTCCCAATTAGGATCCCTTTTGTTGCCTGTGGCCCCATTTTTTTTCAATAAAAATTAAAGTAATTAGGAAACAATTCAAGATCCAGTGTCCCCCAAGCTGCTCAAGGTCTATATGGTGCCCAAGGTCTAAAAATGACTCAGAGGGCGTGTGAAGTAAGGAACTATGTGCCTGCTGAATTACAGCTTCCATTTTAGCTGTTTGGGAAGGTTTGGCTTAGACTATCCACGACAGGGGCTCTTAACTAGGACTAAAACAAGTCAGATTCCTGACCATTTGTCCTAGTGGCAATGCCTGAAGAGAGAAATTTCTAGAATTCCTATGTAATTCATAAATTTCAGAAATAACACATATTTACTGAGAATCAACACTCTCTTTACATTTGGAAGAAGACATTATTAGGATAATGGTGGCTGCTGTAAAAAATAAATAAATCCCCAGATTACACTGGCTTAACTCTGGCTTATATATCCATCTAGTGCACGTGTTCTTGGTCTATGAGCAGCTTTCAAGGCCTGAGCCTCCTTCCTTCCTGTGACTCCAAGTCGTCAGCATCCAAACCGCAGATGGAGGAGGAGAGGGTGAAGATGGCCACCGGCTCCCTAACAACTATGGCTTAGATATGACAATATGGCTTCTGCTCACATTCTCATGGTGAGAACGTCTCACAAGACCCCAGAGGTATGGAAACGAGGCTGAGAAGTGGGGTCGCCAGCTCAGCAGCCATTTCTTAGGGACAAGTGTTTTCTGTGGTTGGGAAAGGCTGAATTTCTGTGGACAAGTAGCAATCTCTGCCACATGGTAAGGCACCAAACTTTTCAGTAGTCAGTAGTACACCGGACAGTGGCATCAGTCCATGACTCTGGGGCCCTGCCAGGGATCAGGAGTTGCCTACTTTGCAAGGAGATCGATTTATTTTTTAAACGAGTCTAATTGCGAGAAAATTCTTATGTTGGGTTATAATATTTCATCATGCAACTTCCACCTGTTGATCTTAGTTCTACCCTTCTAGAATCACACAGAATAAGTCTACTTCATCTCCTTGACAGGCCTTCAAAGGATTAAAGGTCCACTATGTGTCCATTAAGTGATTAGTTTTCTAAGCATCTGCAGCTTCCTATTGGTTTTCATTTCACTTATTATGCTAGGATACCCATGTGTCTATTTTTGGCCTTCTTAAAATGTTCAGCCAAGAATGAAAACAGTTCATCAGGTGAGAAGAATCAACTACAGAGGACTAGATGAGACAGGCCCAGTGCATCTCATTCTGAAGGCTGTTGATATGGAAAACCATTCTTGGGGCACGCTTTTCACTTTCTCATCAGCTGAATGGTGGGAAGTGGAATGATGGTAGCCTGCAGCTCCTGGTGATGGGTCTTCAGAGAATAGAAGCCCTGCTATTTTTCTGCTTTCCTTTCCATAGCGTTCTTGCAGTGTAGACGGTTTCAGTGCGAGGGCTTGTTTCAGATCAATGCTTTTTAAAGCTAAGAAAGAAAAATATGGCTAAACTAAAATGATAATAAAGAAAGCTCCAGATAATACGGCCTTTTATGTAGGCCTTACATCACATGAGCCATGCTTTAGAGCAGTCCTGGAGGTGAGCATAAATTAGACACAGAATCTTTTTATTTTAAAAAAAATTAATAAAGTTTAGATTAAATATTAAAGAGAAAGTCTACAGTCCATTCCTCCTGGATGAAGGCTGAGAAAAATGAGGTTTGTTTCGCGTCTTCCCTTGGGGCTGGCCTGGTAAAATAATCTTTATAAAAATATTTTTAAGTTTTTAAAAAATATTTTAAAATTAATTGTTACAGTTAGAAATTGCATTATGTGTAAGAATATTTTATGCTGGCAATTTGTCTCTATTATATTTTATTTTGCTCTATTTTGATGAGAGAAAGGAAAAGTGGAATTGTGAGCAACCTTTTAATGTGGCTTAGAAACTTAATGTGGAAAGGGTACTAATATTGTAATTACTAGTTTTCATTTATCAGCCACAGTTCTCTTTGTCGCTTCTGCTATTTAAAGTTACTGTTCACATACTGTGGCTAATTCCCTTTGTTAAATTTCACAGTGAATGCAGCTTCCTGGATATTTGTTATTGCAGTCCTATGGATGTAGGCTTCTCAGATAAAGGAAAAGCTGGGTGCATCCATCTGTGGGCAAATTAAAAATGAGTTTAACCCCTTGGCTTCCATGGCTCTTTCCCCTTCGGCAAAATGTGTCCCATGCTTCTGACTGACAAGACATAAAATCGGAGTAACATATATGTTTCATTTTTAATGGAATTTGGTAGAATATCAGAAGCAACTGCTTCGCTATGACCCTGCATTAATACAAAGAGACCACCTGGGGAGGAGGGGGAGGGGCCATTGCTGGAGCAGAGGATTATGGAGTTGGAAGAAGAAGAGAAAAACAGTGAAATACTTTTGAAGTTGGAAGGGGGAAAGTCTATTTTCATTATTTAAGGTCTATTTCCTAACAAATGATTAGTTCATTTGCAGCTGGGTTGGAGTTTTCTGAATCATGGTTATACCAGCTCCTTACACAGAGAATCAAGGAGAGAGAAAAGTGGGAAAAGTGGAAGATTGTTTAGGGGGAGGAAAGAATTTTTCTCCATTTGCCTACTTTTCACAGTATTGCCACTAATTGGAGTATGTTCTTAGAAGAAACAGTGCACATTTAGTTTCCTCTTATTTTTTTCTCCCGTTGTAATTTTCAGAGAGAGAGAGAGAGAGCAAGAGAGAAGGAGTATAAGAAAACAATCAACCCTTTCTTTCTGTTCCTATCAATCTAATTCTGAAAACATAGAAAAGGAAAGATTTAACACACATAATAATGGATTTTGCTTTGTCACTGGGGATTATAACATTTATTTATTCATTCAACAAATATTTATTGAATGCACCAGGCTCTATTTTATAGTAGATTCTGGGGTAAAGGAATGGAAATTCAGGGCAGGTCGCAGCTGCCCAGGAGCCATTGTCCTCTGCAGGAAGGCTGTCATAAACCAGAAAAAAAAAAAAAACAATGCATAGGAAGGGGACAAAGCAGGGCAGCTAGAGACAAAACCTGGTGACTTCCCAGGGAAAGCGTCTTGGGAGATGGCCTTTGACTTGAGGCCCCAGTGATGTGAAGGACCTGGCTGAGGGAAGAACAGATACTGAGACTCCTGGCCAGGATGTGCAGCAAGTGCTGGAGGAACCCAAGGAAACCAAGGTAGTGACCTGGGGTGCAGGAGAGCCTGCATGTGGAGGAGAAGAGCCTGCAGGTGGAGGAGGGGAGCCTGCAGGTGGAGGAGGGGAGCCTGCAGGTGGAGGAGAAGAGCCTGCAGGTGGAGGAGGGGAGCCTGCAGGTGGAGAAGAAGAGCCTGCAGGTGGAGGAGAGGAGCCTGCAGGTGGAGGAGAGGAGCCTGCAGGTGGAGGAGAAGAGCCTGCAGGTGGAGGAGAGGAGCCTGCAGGTGGAGGAGAGGAGCCTGCAGGTGGAGGAGGGGAGCCTGCAGGTGGAGAAGAGGGACCTGCAGGTGGAGGAGGGGAGCCTGCAGGTGGAGGAGGGGAGCCTGCAGGTGGAGGAGGGGAGCCTGCAGGTGGAGGAGGGGAGCCTGCAGGTGGAGGAGGGGGACCTGCAGGTGGAGGAGGGGGGCCTGCAGGTGGAGGAGGGGAGCCTGCAGGTGGAGGAGGGGAGCCTGCATGTGGAGGAGGGGGACCTGCATGTGGAGGAGGGGGGCCTCCAGGTGGAGGAGGGGACCCTGCATGTGGAGGAGGGGGGCCTGCAGGTGGAGGAGGGGGCCTGCAGGTGGAGGAGGGGGGCTGCAGATGGAGGAGGGTGGCCTGCAGGTGGAGGAGGGGGTCCTGCAGGTGGAGGAGGGGGGCTGCAGATGGAGGAGGGGGGCTGCAGATGGAGGAGGGTGGCCTGCAGGTGGAGGAGGGGGGCCTGCAGGTAGAGAAGGGGGGCCTGCAGGTGGAGAAGGGGGGCCTGCAGGTGGAGGAGAGGGACCTGCAGGTGGAGGAGGGGAGCCTACAGGTGGAGGAGAGGAGCCTGCAGGTGGAGGAGAGAGTCCAGTCCGCAGGCCTGGGATGAGCCAAAGTTCAGTTGTAAGTCTGCGGAGGGCTCTGTTTTGTCATATATTTCTGGTTTTAAAAACACAATTGATGCTAAACATACTCGAAGGTATATCGAATGGTACCACAAGTAACCAAGAGGCATTGCCAAGCTCCCACAATCAACCACTCCTGAACCTCCTCTTTCATCCACATCCCACCCAGTCCTCCCCAGCCCACCCAGATTTTAATGCAAACTCCAAATATGGTTTCATTTCACCCATAAATAATTCTGCATGTATCACGCGGGAACATTGAAGAATATTTTAAGAACAACAAATTAACATGATCCAATATTGTGTCAGTGTTTAAAGGTTGATGTGTGTATAATTTTTGCTTCAGTTTGCTTGAATCAGGATCTTAATAAAGTTCATATATTACAACTAGTGGGTATTTGGCATAAGTCTCTTTTGATCCGTAGGTTTCCTTTCATTGGAGGTTTAAAGTAAGGGAATGTCATGATTTGTGACATTTTTTTAAACACCACTGTAGCTGTGTGTGGAGACCAGGGAGCAGGGGGCACGTGGACTGAGCAGGAGCCCGTAGGAGGCCATTGCAGTGGTCCAGGCTGGGGGTGAAGGGGGTCTGGGACCACAGGAGAAGGAAGGAATTGGAATGAATATAGGACTTGTTTGTTGACCATCTCATGTTCTAGTTAAAGCATACTGGGCTTATTTTTCAGGTCTACCAAACTGAGTTAGAGTATGAATGTATACATATGTAAATAATAGACAACAACATAGGAATCAAATCTGTGAAATTAATACACACATAGAAATGTAAGTATATTAGAGATAAAAATATGTACGCAGCATGCTTAGATAGCAATGAAGGAATATAGAAAAAGAGAGTTTCAAAAGTTACAAAAAATTATGCAGTTTGTTCATATGATCCCACACTCCCTGAAATAAGGTTAATCAAGTTTCCCAATTTTGATTTCCTCTCTAAATTGATGACTTCCCTTGAGATTTTCACGAATTATTTTAAAGCCAAGGTGTAGCCTAGTAGAAATTAATTATTTATCCCCAAGAGACAATAGAGCACATGGCATTACAAATAAGTTCTGTTGCTGAAGAAAACTTAAGAGATTAACTGGGAATGAATGAGAGACACAAAATACTGCTTCTCAGCAACGTGCCCCGTGTTCGCCCAGGGGCTCCGGGCACACCGCGCAGACTCCCCAGAGTATCTGGACCAGCACCGCCTGCTGCCCTGCGGCGAGATCTGCCCCAGCGAGTCAAGAGCGAGCCTGTTCTTTTCACTCTAACGGTTTCGCATCTGCTCTGGCCAAAATGTTTTTTCTGCCTTTCTTTCATCTGCACTGTGTTGCCTAGCTTTCCCGCAGAGGCCCCAGTGTCACTCTGAGAACGATCACTCTCTCATTGTGTTTTGTGTTCCTTTTACCCATGGGCAGCTTTCTTTTTACACTCAGTGTCCCTATGAATGGAGCGTTTTGCAGCACCTGGAAGCCTCACTCAGAGAGTCGGCCTCTGCGTTCACACAGTCCAGGGGTGGGGGATGACTGACGCAGATCACCCCGATGAGCCTCAAGTTGGCTTTTTATGTCTGGCTGTTATTCAGAGCTTTAAAAATGGGGAAGGGGAAATGAGAGGGAAAGAGGAAGAACAAAACAAAAATGACAGGAAAATGGCAGAACTTCCATTCGTCATTACCGTTATTTAGCATGAAATGTCAACCAAGTCTGAAGGGCTTTTGGGTGCATGAATAAACAGGCCAGCAAGTAGTTATTTTTATTCTATATGTACATCTTGTGCTCCACACTCAACAGTGACGTCAGCCTTCTTGCTTCACATCAGCTGTCCTTGCTCACGGTGTTCTCAAGGGTGTGAACTCGGCTGAAGATAAGGGTTTGTGACTGCCGTTCCTGTCATGCTGAGCTCGCTTACAGCATGTCCCCTGGCTCAGCAGCTCCACATAGGACCGATGCAGCTCGCAGCTACATTTTCAAGTGTGTTGATGCACATTCCCTTGGGTGTGGACTTTGGATTAGTGTCATTGTCACAGGCGCTAGACAAACACAACATCCATCCTCGTGCTAAGCTGTTTGTCTTGTTTTGCACTCCTTTGAGGAGTTTCCAGGCTCTGTCTACACAGTGCCAAATATCTAGATCAGAGTTGAAAAATGTAATTTAAAACCCCAGTGTTTGTGTTGCATGGAAAAAGCCCAGAGTTTTTTATATTTGGATAAATTAGAGAGAGAGAAAACCTTTGCCCTCAATTCTATCAGAATGGTATACTTGAAGTTGCTGAAAATATGCTGAGTTGAATCAAACGGTTATTGATACGATCCATTGCACTCCCCAGTATAATGTGTAGATCAATAACTCAACACAGATTCTGTTCTTCATGGTCTTCTCTATAGTGTTGCTTCAAATAGCATGACCTTTTATATTCTCAGGATAAATTTTCTATAAACTTAAAGCATCACCATTTCCTATAGACAAAGTAGGGTAATTAATAATTATTATTCTGAATGATAAGCATTTTGCTGATGTGCCAGCCACCGAGCTGAGCTTTTAAGGAGTTCGTTCACTTAATCCCTTCAATGAGCATATGGTATCTCCGTTAAATATATGAGGCATCTGAGACTCAGAAAGTTCAAATAACTTGTCCAAAGTCACTCAGCTGAATTATCAAAGCATGACTCACACACAGCCTATATTCTTACATCATACTGCCTTCTGGAAAAGTTGGACTCACTTTAGTCCAAGTAGTCCTGGTTCTATTTTATGATCATTAAAGCTGTGTGCGTTTGCAACCCCCAGTCCCACCTCCCCGTGTGTGGTGTGTGTGAGTATGTGATGGATAATTATTGTTTGGTTAGGCTCATTTCCTTTTGTTTAATTTCCAACTGCTATGCGTAATAGCATTTCCTTATTCTAGAGGGAAGCAGAAACTCGGAAAGAACGCGAGGACAGCTCATTTGCAGTGCTTCCTGTTGAGGGAGCAGGAAGTGTGCAGGAGTTGTGAGGAAGTCTGCCAGAAAGAGATTCCTAGAGTTGAAAGTGGGGAACCATCAGGCCCAGCGTGGGGTCCAAAGCTGAGCTTAGAAGCCCATAGGAAATAGATGCCTAAACTTCCAAGTTTCCCTTCCTACAATTCTATCAACAGAGACTCTGCAAATATGTGACAGGCTGAATTCTAGAAGAACCTGTGCTTATAAAAGCCTCAGAGCCTAACCATACCATGCAACAGCACAAGGCCAGCCCAGAGGCCTGCAGGTACAGAGAAACCAGCAGAAGGGGGCAAGAGTGAGTCAAAGGAACTCACCACGGTTTCTAGACTCCCGGAGTGTCGCCCATGGAGACTTTTCTCTTTACAGTAAAGTAATTGAGAACAAGGGACCAGATGTCAGTTTGATTAGAGAAAGAGAGGTAGGGCAGAATGATATAGGACATTATCCAAGTAAAGTAGAAAATAAAAGTTTATGCAGGATATGAAACAGCAAGAGATCTATAAAGGAAGCTAAAATCCAACTTGCAGGAATTTGTGTTAGTGAGTGAACAGTAAGTGTCAGTTATTTGAAGATCATCCTCGTGAATGCCTGCCTAATGAATACAGGGCTGGAAGACATTCCCTCAGGGCCTCCTTGACTAGAACGTAACTGGAGGTTTCCATACTGACCAGCACGGACCAACTCAGAGTAGAGCAGACCAGGACCCACCATGCTAGAGCGTTCATCAGTGACCCCTTTCTCCTATGCATCTGCCCTGCTTTGCTTGTGTTCATTTGCATATCCACACACACAACAAATATTCATTGACCACCAGCTCTGTGCCAGGCACTGAGGTTGATGAGGATGTGTTGGTGGATAAAACACATGGCTTCTGGAGCTGACCATCCTGCAGAAGGATTTCAGCCCACTTTCTAAAATCTAAAACAAGAAAACAAAACAGCAGCAACAGGCCGGGCGCGGTGGCTCATGCCTGTAATCCCAGCACTTTGGGAGGCTGAGGCGGGCGGATTAGGAGGTCAGGAGATCGAGACCATCCTGGCTAACATGGTGAAACCCCGACTCTGCTAAAAATACAAAAAATTAGCCGGGCGTGGTGGTGGGCGCCTGCAGTCCCAGCTACTCGGGAAGCTGAGGCAGGAGAATGGCATGAACCCAAGAGGCAGAGCTTGCAGTGAGCCACGATCATACCACTGCACTCTAGCCTGGGTGACAGAGCGAGACTCCGTCTCAAGAAAAAAAAAAAAAAAGGAGAAAGTTGGAGAATGCTATGTGAGCCTGAAGACAGTCATCTGCAAGCCAGAGAGAGGGGCCTGGAGCCAGTCCTTCTTCACAACCCTGCTGACACCTTGATTTCTTCAGTTCTAGCCTCCATGACTGTGAAAAAAAAAAACAAAAAAACAAAAAAAAAAAACGCAACAACAGAAACTCCAGCCTCCCTGGATTCCAAAATCCCCTCTAATTAATATGATATTGCTTGGCTACTGATATGGTTTGGCTGTTTCCCCACACAAATCTCGTCTTGAATTGTAGTTCCTGTAATTCCCATATATCGTGGGAGGGACCAGGCGGAGACAATTAAAATATGGGGGCAGTTTCCCCATCCTGTTCTCATGATAGTGAGTCAGATCTCACAAGAGCTGATGGTTTTATAAGGGGCTTCCCCCTTTGCTGGGCACTCATTCTTCTCTTCCCTGCCACCATGTGAAGAAGGATGTGTTTGCTTCCCCTTCTACCATGATCATAAGTTTCCTGAGGCTTCCTCAGCTGGGCTAAACTGTGAGTCAATTAAACCTCTTTTCTTTATAAATTACCCCGTCTTGGGTATGTCTTTATTAGCAGCGTGAGAACAGACTAATACAGCTACCCTTCTCAAAAGTGTTGCTTTTGAGAAGGAACACTTCTCAAAAGAGTCATTTATGCTTTCTGGGTCCAGTTATTACCGTTTACCAACTTCCTGCCTCTCTGAACCTGACCCTCAGGATCTGCCTTTGTGACAAGATCACCCATGACAGCCAAGGCCTTCAAGTGATCCTTTCCAGGCCTGCACTTATTTGGTCCCTCTAGAACATTTTGCACTGTTGCCCACTCTTTTATTCTTTGGATGCCTTCTTCCCTGGTTTTCCTGAACACCATGATCTCCTGGTTGTCCTCCTACTTTTTTCTCACCTTCATCAACAGGATTTGCTTTCACCATCTATTTATTTCTTTCTGGGGAGGAGGGAGAACATTTTTTTTTTTTGCTTTCCTGGAGGGTTTCATCTGAACCTTTTCTTTTCTTGCTTTTGGAGATGTATACACACTTTTGGCTTTAATTACTCTTTATTTGCTCATGGCTGCTATTTTTCTATGCAGAGCTTCAGCTCAGTATGTCTAAACGCCTACTAGAATTCCCCATTAGAAATACCACCAGCATCTCACACTTGGCAGGCTGAAAACCAAACTCATGATGTCCTCCACTCTGCTGTGTCCATCTCCCTGCATGGCATCATCACCCACCTATTTATCTCCTGGTGAGCCAGAGTCATCCTCAAGCCTTCCCCCTCCTTCACTCCCACATCCAATAAACTATCAAGCACTGTCTTTTCTACTTTTTGAATTATCTCTAAGATCTGCCACCTTTTCCAAGCCTGCAATCAGGAAGTGCATGGTACATAAAAGGCATGGAATTGATGTCTATTGAGTAATCTTATTTGATAAATGGATGAACACATGACTAAGATCAGACCCCAACAGGTCAGGAATTCCAGCTCAATGCACAATGAGGTCACACGGTCCTGCACCCTGAGGCCATGGCCAAGTGATTCAGTTCTGGTCTCCACATGGTCTTGGGCACAGACGAAACCACTTTCAGAACAGATGAGAGCATATTTTCTCATGTGCTGAAACTCTGCTGAGGCTCTGAATTTATCCTAACTTATGGACGATCACAAATTACAAATATTTTGAATCTACATTCATGTAAATTTAAGTCAATCAGAATAACGTATAGTTTTTCTCTATTCTTCATTTCATCCTTTTTCCATTCGATAAACCCACTTTGTAGAGCTTGCCTCCATCAACTGCCAACAACCAAATTTCCAGTTTATGACACTCTGAGTCTCTTCCTCAATTCTGTTCTTTCTTCTTCAAGGACTATCTGTTGGCCATTTTAGTACTAAGTCCACTATCATCTGAAATAGGCCAAGACCAAGAGATTAAATGTATATAAATTGTGTGTGTATGCACACACACATGCACACACGTATATATTCCAAGGCTGCTATTTTTGCAACCTCATAGTATCAGTAATTCTAGAGAAAGATTTTCCTGAGGAAGAAAGCAGAATTGAAAATGCTAAACTTTTTTTATGATTAGCATAGCTATTAGTAAGAACTCATAGAAGCTCAGTCAGTTTCTATGACTGAATTCAAAGGCAGAAAGATAAACAAAAGAGAAAATCAGCCAAGCTCTTTAAAAACAAAAAAGAAGACTAAAAAGATACGAAATCTTGAAAGCAGATGGAGAAAGTAAAAAAAAAAAACTGATAATAGGAGGCAAAACTCTAGACTATCCAAGAAGAAAAAAACATAGATAAAGCAGCAAAACAACAAAAGCTAGTATAATATTACCTTGTGGGTAAAACCAACCAATTTTAATAGCATTTTCTTGTTAATAATCCCTCCCACAAGAGACACAAAGCAAGATGTGCTTCTTGGTAGAGTTTGTAAATTTTACTGTTTTTTTTTTTTTTCCCATTCTACTCTGAAGAACTTTATTCCTTGCTGTTAAATAAGTGAACATAAATATGTTCATTTATATTGGTGTAAGGAGTCTCCAAGACAGATGTGATGATCTGCGTCAAATTTAAAAGAAAAATTAGCAGTAACAAAAAGGCCAGCATATTCTGAAAAATTTTGGTATATGTACTAATGTGGTCATGGGCATACATTGTATGAAGCATCATATATGTTAATGTATAAGCATGGCTGGGATTTCCAAATTAAAAATTATTTGGATCTCTCTGTTAGGTAAGTGCTCCAATTTAGAAAAAGAAATTCTGCAGAAAACGCTATGGATAGAGTGGAATTTGACCTTGGGTCTGACGATACTGTGGATGGAGCATCAGCCACCTGTCCATTCTGTGCTGTTGACCACATGCCATGAACACCCATGTGCCATTTCACACACACACACACACACACACACACACACACACCAGTAAAAGCCTCAAAATGTGATGGGCTAGAGTGGGCATTGAAAGATAAGTGATGAGGGAAAAAGAAAAAGGATTCCCCCTTGGTGTGGTCATTATTCACTGGTCTTTCTATTTTTATGAGAGGGAAATGAATCAGTTACTACTTCAATCTGAAGGGATTTCAAAGTTTAACCCTTCTTTAGTTTCACACATTGGCCGTCTTCACTGAAATTCAATAGGGAGTGTGGAGAGCTATGTATTCACAGTTCCTCATTCACCTGGATTTCTGAAGTTGATTTAACTGTTAAAGAATCACTTCTTGATTAGTTTGCAGTTATCCTGAAAGTATGTCTCTTAAAGCATGGTCATGTTAATTCTGTCTTTTGTCCTGCTCTAGAGTTGTAGCCTTGCACCAAATGTAAAGAAGGTGTTTGTCTTGGTTGAAACTTCTCCACTGTTCAGGATCATAAGTGATCCTGAAAAGAGACACTTGGTTGTCTTTTTTTTTTACACTGCAATGACATTCCAGGTAGATGGAGACATAAAGCTTTGGTTACTATTAAATTTTCAGGAACAGATAATCCTTCCCAACATTTTAGAAAAGAGTGAACAAGAAATTTCATCTCTAAAAGTCTAAGATTCTAAAAACATATCAGCAAATCAAGCCTTTCAATTCAAAAGTGAATCAGCATCAGTAAAATTGATGAAATCAATGTACTTCTCAAGGCAGCAGGTAGAGTTCTACAGAGCTGCTCTGCTCCTAAGATGTAGACTATAATGAATTAATACTTCTGCTGGATTCTTTGGTAGCAAGGCCATCATACAGTAGGTGATAGATCAATAGATAGATATAGATAGATAGATAATATATACTTTCTTCATATCATACATAATATTACAGAATAAACATATTATTGATTTTTTCACTGTAACAAGCATGGTTTAACATCAATCCAATTACTTATTTGGTCAATCCCATAATAGATCTAAAACAGTTTTAGAATTGATTTGCCTATACCACCACAAAAAGTAAACTATTGAAAAGAGTTTAGGTATATAGTCAACATTTTATTCATAAGTTACTTGACTATCTTCTCCCCAACCATTGTGTTATTCGTCTTAAAAGCAGTTGCATTAATTTGCTTCCGTTTCAATTCTATTTCCTCATTATTCTTGTTTCCATTTTAATTTTTTGAATACGAAGAATATTAACATACCTTCAAATCTCAACTATACAAAAAGGTAGTCTCTTCCTGTATCTCTTCAGCCCTACTTGTCCCTCTCAATATAGGTAACAAACTTCATTGTTCTCCGGCTTACCCGTGACATTTTAATGCTCGCACAGATCATCAGATTGATGTCACTTATTATCTCTTCTTTCTTACACTTTGTGTTTTCACTAACAAAACAAAAGGAAATAATCCCTTCTCCATTCTTAGAGGTCTATCATTTTTTCCCAGTTCACATCACTCCATTGTGTAGATATAGCATAGTTTATAAAATCCATCTCTTATGTACGGTACCTCCCCTTATCCTCAGGGGATTCATTTCAAGACTCCCAGTGGATGCCTGAAACCGTGGATAGTACCCGATTATATACACACTATGTTTTTTCCTATACATGCATACCTATGACAAACTTTAGTTTATAAATTAAGCACAAGAAGAGATTAACAATAATTATAAAACAGAACAATTATAACAATTAACAATTTCCTGGATAGAAGATTCGTTCTAGTCTGAATTGGCAAGCATCACTACTCTTGCGCTTTGGGACCATTATTAAGTAAAATAGGGGTTACTAGAACACAAGCACTGAGACACCACGACAGTCGGTCTGATAATAGAGATGGCTACTAAGTGGCTAGCAGGTAGCTTAAACAGTGTGCAGACGCTGGACAAAGGGATAATTCACCTGCCGGGTAGGACGAAGCAGGAGAGTGCATGATTTCATCAGCAACTCAAAATGGAGCACAAATAAAACGTAAGGATTATTTCTGGAATTTTCCATTTAATATCTTTGGATCACTATTGACCATGGATAACTGAAAATGCAGACAATGAAACCATCCATAAGAAGGGAGTACTGTATAGACATTTAGGTAGTTGCTAAATTTTATAATGTGAATATGGCTGCAGTGAATAATCATATGCCTTCTTTTTGTATTATTTGAAATATATTTTCAGAGTAAATTTCTGGAAGTGTGATTTCTGGGTTGAAGAACAAATGCATATGTAGTTGTTTTTAGAACTGCCAAATTCCCCTCCATAGGAATTGTATTAGATCGATGCAAAAGTAATTGTGGTTTTCGCCATTAAACGTAATGACAATAGGCAGGCGTGGTGGCGGGCACCTGTAGTCCCAGCTACTCGGGAGGCTGAGGCAGGAGAATGGCGTGAACCCGGAAGGCGGAGCTTGCAGTGAGCCCAGATCGCGCCACTGCACTCCAGCCTGGGCGACGGAGCGAGACTCCGTCTCAAAAAAAAAAAAAAAAAAAAAAAAAAAAAAAAAAAAGTAATGGCAAAACTGCAATTACTGTTTTACGTTAAAAGTAAAGGCAAAACCCGCAATTACTTTTGCACCAACCATTTTAAATTCCAGCTAGCAGTGCATGTTACCAGACAGTTTTGTCAGCAGCGTGAATTGTCAAGCTTCCATATTTTCTCCCAACGGATGGGTGAGAAATGGTCCTTCTGTAGTTTTTGTTGTTGGCGGTGGTGGTGGTGGTGGTTTTTGAGACGGGGTCTCGCTCTGTGGCCCAGGCTGGGGTGCAGTGGTGCGATCTCGGCTCACCGCAAGCTCCGCCTCCCGGGTTCACGCCATTCTCCTGCCTCAGCCTCCCGAGTAGCTGGGACTACAGACGCCCGCCACCACGCCCGGCTAATTTTTTTTTGTATTTTAGTAGAGACGGGGTTTCACCATGTAAGCCAGGATGGTCTCGATCTCCTGACCTCGTGATCCACCCGCCTCGGCCTCCCAAAGTGCTGGGATTACACGCGTGAGCCACCTGGCCTGACCCTTCTGTACAGTTTTAAGCTGCATTTCTCCTATTATGAGCGAAGTTAAACCTCTTTAACATGGAAGTGCCATTTTAATATCTATTCTGTGGATTTTCTATTCATGAATGACTTGTTCCACTTTTCTATAAGACTTTTTGTCCTTTTTCCCCAATATACCCAAGTTCTTTGTATAATAGGTACATAGCCCTCATCTGTGCTCTTTCCCAGTTCGTCATTTGCCTGTTGACCTAGTATATGGTGCTTTTTTCCATGCAAATAGTTTGTTTTAATGTAAGCAAACATCAATCTTTTCATTTATGACACCTGGATTTTGAATTGTTAGAAATCCTTTCTTACATGAAGGATAGAAATGAATCTAATTTCATCTTTTCTCAATAACTGTCCAGTTACTCTGATATCACTTATTTTATTTCTGTGAAAGTCCATTTTTGCCCCAGTGATTGGATATGTGCCTCCATATTACACTCATACGCACCATTTGTTCTACGCCATTTGCTCGTCCTTTTGGAAATATGTCCATGCTGCTTTAATTATAGAAGGTTTAGAGTATCTCTTATTTTAATTTCCAACTTTTAGGCTCAGGGGGCATGTGCACAAGCGTGTTACAGAGTTAAATTGCATGTTTAGTGTACAGATTATTTCAGCACCCAGGTAATGAGCCACGGTACCCAATAGGGAATTTCTCAATTCTCACACTCCTTCCACCTTATAGTCTTAACACACACTACCTCTTCCTTTTCAAGGTTTTTTTGTGAACTTGAGTATCAACTTGTTTCGCTTCGTGAGTGTGTGGGTGTGTGTGTAACTGAGAATGCATAATATTTGGAAATTAACATGGGAAGGATTGTTATGTTTATAATACTGAAACATCATCGTCTCCTATTGGGGCTTTCTGGGATGTTTTATGGTTTTCCTGAGATAGGTTTTAAGTAATACTTTTATACTTCTATGTAGTTTATCCTTTATTACTATTGTAATTGTGACTTTATTATTTATCTTTTAGTTGGTTATTTATGTATATAAAGGCTATTGATTATTGCATGTTAATTTTATATTCTGCTAATTGCTTAATGTTTTCACTTAAGTTTGTTTTATCATTAATTCTCTGGGATTCTCCAGGTATACTATCATGTCACTTGAAAAAGATAGTTTATTTATTTTCACCAATTATTTTGCCTTCGATTCTGTAATCTAGTTACATGATGATAATAGGAATCCTTGCCTTGTTTCTAACCTTAACTGGAATATTTCTAGTGTTTCCTAATTGGAATGATTCTGGAATTAGGATTGGGAGAGAGATATATATAAAAAATATTACATAAAATATATGTATATATAGGAATATATATGTGCATATCTCAATCCTAATTTCAGAATCTTAATAATTTCTTTCTTTCTTAATCTTTTATGAAAATAATACATTTTGTCATATTAGGGATTTGCATTTTGACTTTTTTCTAGAGATTCTATTATAAATGAAGTTAAATTTTGTCAAAGGCTATTTTTTGCATATCTGGAGATAGTTATATCATTTTTCTCCTTAGATTTCATTGTGTGGTAAAATATACTAATAAGATTTCCTAATATTGAACTGTTTTTGAATTCTGATATAAAATTACTCATGGTCATGGTGAATTATTTTGCAGTTTTAAATCAGTATGAATAGTGAAATTGATCTCTAACTTCCTTTGTTGTGCTGTTTTTATTAAGCTCAGCTATCAATGTCATCCATTCTTCATAAAAGGAACTGGAAAGTTCCTCTTCATTTTCTATATTTTAAAACAAGGTATGTAGTGGGGCCAGTGAGTCTCTAAAGGTGTCGAAGCACTCCCCTCTGAAACTGTTTGGTATGGTGTTTTATTAAAGAGCAGTGCTTAATATATTTTTCTATGTCTTCTATGGAAATTGATCAAGCTTTCAGTTTACTAAGGTGAATTTTGGTAAACTATATTTTATTAATACATTACCCACTTCACAGCTTGCAGTATAGCTCAGAGGTAAAACATTTGACTGCAGAAATTACCCACTTCATCAGTCTTTATAAATGTATTGGCATAAAAGTAGTCTAAAATTTTTAAAGGTTTTTTTTTCCTGAGTGGATAGTCATTTTACTCCTTGTTATATTTTATTTTTTAAAGTTTTGCCCCCTTTTTTTTATTAAATTACCTAGAGTTTTTTGTTCATTATTATTTCAAAAGTTATTTAATGCAGTCTTTTTCTGTTTTTATCACATTTCTCTATTATTATTATTAAATCTTTTGTTTTTCTTTGTTGTTTTCTTTCTTTTTTTTTACTTAGGATTGCAAGTCTTTTTTCTCATTCTTTTATTTTTATTGACATGGATGCTAGGGCATAAATTTTCTATTATTGCTGCTTTAAATGTAACTCAGATTTTTTAATACAGTGTTTTATTTTTTTATTTCTTGAATTATAATTTTAAATATTAGCTCTACCACGTTGTTTTTTTTTTCTTCAGAGATTTCAATCATACACACACACACACACATGCACACTCATACACATATTGTATTAGGGTTCTCCAGAGAAAAGATAAACAATAGGATACATGAAAATTTGTTTGAAGGAAGTAGATTGCACGATTGTGACGCTGGCATGAGAAAAATGTGCAAAGCAGACCAACTGCCGGGAACTCACCAAGAGTTGATGCTGCAAACTTGAGGCACAATTTATTCTTTTCTGGGAAACCTCAGGTTTTTCTCTTACTTCCTCAACTGATTAGGTGAGGCTCACCACCTTATCCAGAGTTACTTTCTTTACTTTAAAGTCAATTGATTATAGATGTTAACCTACATCTACAAAACACCTTCACAGCAAAACCTGGGTTAGTGTTTAAGTGACTGGTTTCTACAGCCTCACCAAGTTGAAACATAAAAGTAACCAGCACAAATGTTGCATCTTTCTTCTCCAACATTTCAACCATTTTCTCTTTCACTCTTTTTATCCATCTTCTTTATATCTTTATGTTATCCTCTTGATTGTGTTTCTTAATTTTTCCATGACCCTTATTAAGCTTTTATTTGAGTCTATTCTTCTTTGGTCATCTTTGGTAATTTAGCCTTCATTTCCTTTAAGATTCTAACATTTTACTCTCTTTTCTGTCCTTGCATTTCCTTAACTCTTGTTTTATTTTTTTGTTCTGTTTCCTGCCTCTATTTTTATTTTTAAATTTTCGATCTAAAGTATTTCCTTATCTTCAAATTCTTTTTTGTGTCTATTTAATTCAGTTTTGATACTTCTGTGACAATTTTCTTCTGTTTCATGCTTGATTTTTTTTTCACAGCTTCTATCTGTTGGTTCACATTTTCTATTTTCTTATTACAGTTTCCTGTGAATGTGGTCCACATTTTCTCTTCCTGTTCATTTCATGGGTGTGATTTCTAACATGAGAGTGCACTTTTTGGTACATCTGTCTTCTTTGGTTTGGTTTCCTTGGTGGATGGTGGTAGTGATGATGGAGGGAAAGAGATGGTTTGCTGGGTCTGCTATGCTGTCATCTCTCATCTCTGTAGGTCCCCCTCGGTTCCTCCCTTCTCCTTCGTGACATGTCCCTGGTGGTTTCCATTCCTTCTTTGTGCATCTTCTCCAGGAGAAGCCCACCTCTGGGGCTGCCTCTTCCTGCCTGACTCATGTTCAAAGTCCCTTCCAGGTGGCTGTTGCTCTGAACTACCAAGGCCTGAGCCATCCATCACCAGTCCTTCAGCATCCAGGAATGGATTTTTCTTTTTGAGGCCAGATGGTCTTTGCCTCATCTAAGGCACCCTCATCCTGTGTTTTTGTTTGTTTTTTTTTCCACAAAGTCACATAAACCTTGCGGACCCCTTGCCCAGAAGCTCCCAGTGGTGGTGACAGGGGCTTAGCTGAAATTTGGTCTCCTTCTCTGTGTTGAAGTAATCTTGCAGATTGTGGTGTCCTCTGTCATCTTGTGAACTGCACGTGTGGCTCACAGGTGGTTTCACTGGTTTATTTTCGTGGGAAGGCTGTGCAGGCAGATGAGAATCAGGCCCGCGCCATCCTCCCCCACACCCACGAGATTCCCCAATCCCTTTTTACTCATTTTTTTCTACTTCTCCCTCAACAAGAAGCCACGGTCATGAGAAACCTGAACGGGGACTTGAGTAACTGAGGATGCGGCGCTCTGCTGCAGAGGCAACAGGGCACCATGAACACTAGCCGGGTACATCCAAAATGGAAAAATATGACTATCTCTCAGGGTTGTCGTGCAGATTAACTGAAACAATAATCATGAAAGCACGTGGCACACAGTGACTTCTTAAGCCACCTGTCATCTCTGTAACCAGGCCCTAGAAATTGTCCTTCCGGGGTTGCTCAGGGGGTCAGTGACCCAGCCCCCCTTCACAGGAACTTGTTGGGGTGTGTCCTTAGAACCCACAAGGCAGGAAGTGAGCAAATTCTTAGTTTTCCCTTAGCTAAGAACGATCATGTAAAGAAGGTATTGGGGTCTCTGATACCTGGATACAGAATCACTTAATAATACACATCGGCTTTGCCCACAAACGGGGGAGCAAAGAGGAACCTCATAGCCTCACACTAATTCTGAGCACGTGATCAGCCTCGGCTGCCGGTTCGTCTGCTGAGGAGGAGGAGGAGGAGGAGGAGCAGCGTCTGAAACACGGGAAATGTCCGAAGCCATCTTTCCGCTCCAGCCACTTATGGGTCAGAGTGAAATCTTTCTCTTCTCTCCTCTACGTCAGTTTAGAGTCTCCTATTAAACAGAAAACATGTCGAGCTCATAGGAACACCGCTTTCTTTCCTCCTTCCTCTGAATTTTCTTCACCATCTTCCCCGACACAGGCACCCTCACCCCTGGCCCCCTGCCCACGTCACTCCTCAGTGCTGGCCTCCGGTTGTCAATAGCAGCAGCGACTGTGTCTTCATGAAGAAAGATGGATAAAATATTACCATAACCTCAGAGGCATGAGCAAAGCCCTTATTAGAATTCGGGACCTACAGCTGGAACTTCCAGCATGGGGCGGGAGATAAAGTTCACTATTGTTAGCTCACAAGTGGCTCCGACTTCCTGGCAACTGCAGTGAATTACTCAGTCATTTATGCAGGCCTTCAGAAACAGTCCACTGTTTCCCAACAAAAAAGGCATTCAGGAAGGGAGCGAAGGCTCCGCGGCCCTGGAGAGCCGGCTTTAGGGCAGCCACTGGCCGGGCGGTCTCCCAAGTCAATGGCCTCTGTGGGAAAGGCAGTGATGTCACCTCGAATGTATTTTCGGGGCTTTGCCCTGCTTTCTCCTGATCTCTCCCTCTCAGGCTGTTTCCCTGTTTTATTTTTCTCCTCTTTCTTTCTCTCCTTCCAGCTTCTTTGAGGGCATTATGACTTTTTTCCAAGTTTAGAGCTCAAATCCACTGAAGGCCCGCACGCAGCCCCATGACTGCCATGGCAACGCCGGGCCTGGTACACTTTTTTTTTTTTTTTGCATAAAAAGTAGAGAAAGATTGAAAAGAGGGACAAGAATGAAAGGGGGAACGGAGCCAGTTTGGCCTGCGCGGGGCTGGTGTCTGCTGGGCAAGGACAGAAGCACACGGGGAACGGGACTCGTGAGGCCGGAGGAGCCAGCGGAGGGGCCTTTGAGAAACAAATTTGTGATCCTTCACGGTCAAAGCTTCCGAAAAAGCTCTGCGCTTCTGACGGATGACAAGAGAGGGAGGGCAACAAAGTTCTCACAAGAAATAAGGTCTCGCTTTTGAACATGTACCCAATTGCATAGTTTAGAGGAAGCTTTCAAAAATCTGTCTAGCCTCTCAAAAAGAAAGACAAAAAGAAGAAGAAGAAGAAAGGAGCGAAAAGTCTCAAAAGGACTTTTGACCTGTGTAGAAAGAGAGCAGAAAACACGCTGACACATTTCCTGGAATACCCAAGGTCCTTGAGCTCCCTATTGTTAAACGGCCTCAGTGGAAACTCGAAGGTGTCAGCTGTGTCAAATCAACTCAAAATAATCGATGACAAACAGAAAGAGACATTCATTACTGTACCTTCTTCCCCTAGAGAATATAACATTACCTTGAACTCCTGAAAGAAAATGAATGTCATGTCTCCGATATGTTTTGTGTCCATTCTATCAAAAAGCAGATTGCAAACAGTCTGAGAAAGCAGCTCCTGAAAAATCCAGACAACTGCCCCCATGAAAGCCGGGGCCAGCAGGTGAGGTGACTTGAGCGTGCAGGCATGGATCGCGGTCTCCTGCTGCCCAGGGCTCTTCCTGCTAGCATCAGCATCTGATGGATGAGAGCCCCATCTAGTTCCTGGGCCCTGGGTTACTGCCCTCTAATCCTGTCCTTGACCTCCTTCCCAAAAGTGTTATCAGCCATAGTCCAAGCTCCATGTTCTCCATGTGGTTACACACAAATGCACCAGGCCAAGAGTCCTTGAAAAACTTAGACACTAATCACAGAAGACACAGTCCTCAAGAAGGGAATGGCAATGTTATTTCTACCAGCAGCAATGGCTCAGGCCAAGGAGTTGGAAAGAAGAGACAAAGAGGAAGGCGAAGGCAGGCTCTGGAGAGGACATGGACTCTGAGGCGGGTCTGGAGATTGTTCATGGGCACAGAGTAACAGGAATGTCCCACACTCAGGTGCAGGGTGACTGGGTGTTGAGCGGGCTGGACTCACTGACTGGCACACTATCCAGAAAAGGCTTTGTGCTTCTCCTACACATGAGCTGTGGGATCCCCACTCCTAGTCCTTGGATGGGGCAGATGCCATTACTTTCCAGTCATTAAACGTTAGGACTCTTTATTTAGTTTTCTCTCTCTCTCTCTCTTTTTGATGGAGTTTTACTCTTGTTGCCCAGGTTGGAGTGCAATGGCACGATCTCAGCTCACTGCAACCTCCGCCTCCTGGGTTCAAGCGATTCTCCTGCCTCAGCCTCCCAAGTGGCTGGGGTTACAGGCATACACCACCATACCTGGCTAATTTTGTATCTTTAGTAGAGACAGGGTTTCACTATGTTGACCAGGCTGGTCTCGAACTCCTGACCTCAAGTGATCCACCAACCTCGGCCTCCCAAAGTGCTGGGATTACAGGTGTCTTTAGTTTTCATATGATAAAATTTCTACTCCAATTGAGACCTAAATTTCAGTCTCTCGAGTGGTTCACATTATCCTGGAGTTTTGCCCAGAGGTCATGTCATTGGTGGTTGGGGCACACTGATTTGGCAGTCAGGTGGCCATACACAGGGGCTCTTTTAGAGGCCCCTCTGGGATTTTTGGAGACCGCTTCAACGGTGTCTGTCCCACCTGATCTCCAGTCCAGGAAATGCATTCTCAGCAGACTCCTCTCTCGCCAGTGCTGCCTCTACCCAGCAGGGTGCTGTAGCCTCCAGCCTGGGACCCTCCTTCCGGCAGGTGGTCCTCTTGGACAGGGTGTCTCAAGAGGCCTCCACACCAGCCATCTTCTGCAGTCTGCACTTGACCAAGAGATGCCCCACAACCTTACCCCCACAAGGTATCAGAATAGGCCACCCCCTGCCCCCCGCATCACCCCCTCTCTGTCTGCATGAGCCAGCCTCCCTCTTAAGCATTCTTGAGGTGAGACTGAGGAACCAATGCCTAATTCCATGCATCCCCCTCTCTGGGGCACTGCCTTAGACTGGCACATGCACTCTGCCACTTTGCCCCTCCTCTGGGGGACCCTAGAGGGGCCTAAGGATTCTGTAGTTGAGCAAGCTCTCCAGTGTATTGTGAGAGACCAGTCTCTTCTTGACGCCATTTCCACACTGTATGGTTATGTTCTCTTGCTGTCTCTTCCCACCCTCCCCTCTTGCATTCAGCTTGGACAGAATTGGAAAGAAAGAACATCCTGACTCCATACCTTATAGGAAAAAAGAGAGAAAATGCTCAGCTCACACTCACACCTTCAGATTCCCTGGCTGAGATTCCCCCTCCACACATCCAATTTTCCTTGGGGAGGGTATTCAGGATGATGCTCATGGAACCTTCCTTTCCCTGCTCCATTTGTGACAGGCTCCCCTCTTTAGAATGTGAGAGTTTTTATTGTCTGTTGTTTTCAGCTCTAGGGCTTCAGCTGAAATTCTGAAACACAGGACTTCCACTTAAAGTGTGGCTTCTCCAGGATCACATCAGTTGTTAACCACATGCGGAAGATGCCTTCACCCACACCCCAGTTCATTCCGTGTGAACCATTTTCTTTTCTTAATAATCAGCTCAACTTTCTCCCTCCCTATGGTGGCTGGGGTTTTTTTTGTTTCTGTTTTGTTTGTTTTGTTTTGTTTTTGTTTTTGTTTTTTTGAGATGGAGTTTTGCTCTTATTGCCCAGGCTGGAGTGCAATGGCACGATCTCGGCTCACTGCAACCTCCGCCTCCTGGGTTCATGTTTTTTTTGGTGTTGTTTTTTTGTTTTTGTTTTTGTTTTTGTTTTTCATTTGTCTACCCATCACCTTTCCTTCTTGAGACAGTATCCGGATTTTCCTTTGGGGAACTGTGCCTCCCTCCACCTCAATCCATGGGGTTCGGTTGGGGGTTCCAGCCTCCAGGCTTGCCCATGTGATCCAAAGGGGTCCGCGGGCTCCCTAAATACATAATGGGCCCAGGAGCAGCCGTCGTGTGGACCCACTTGGTCCGGTCTGAGTGGCTCTCTGGGCTTCCACGAGAGCTCCTGGGGACAGGCCCTATTATGTTGTTGTCAGCACTGGGGCTGGTGGACGTAGTGGCAGCATGTCACCCTCCACCTGGGGCCAGAAGAAAGCCCACAAGAACACAAACAGAGGAAAGGGGCGGGCCCAGAAGAACTTTTCAGTCCCTGAATCAACCTGTGCCTGATCCACCCTCGGGCTTTTCAGAAACATGAACCAACAAATTCAAACCCCCACAGTTTTTTGTCATGAAGCCAATTTTAGGCCAACTCTGTATCAATGGAACATATTTTCCAACTTTACCCTATGCAAATTCTCAGTCATTTTAAACTCATCTTTCACCTTTTCCCTTAGTATGCAGTGACTGAATTCTGTCGTTTTTTCCTTTGGAATATCTGGGACAGCTGTTCCTTTCTCACTGTTCTCTATTTCCGCCATCACACTCCTCCCATTTCCTCAGCAGGACCCTCGCCAGTGGCTGTAACTGCCTCTAAACTGCCTGCCTGACTGGAATCCATCCCCCGCACCATGGGAAGATCGTCTCTTCTGAGATACTTACTTCACGTACTCCAGATCCTTCCCTGGCTTTTTTTTTTTTTTTTTTTTTGACGGAGTTTGCTCTTGTTGCCCAGGCTGGAGTGCAGTGGCTCACCACAACCTCCGCCTCCCATGCCTGACAAGGAAGACCACATGCTGAGTGGAAGGTGGGGGGCATGCATAGTGCCTGGCACCTGGTGGCACCCCTGACTGAGTGTCTCACTGACAGGGACTTGAGGAACTGTCTTGGGGAAGGGAAGATCTTTGCTTTTGTGATGACACCAACGTATGAAAGACGTGCAGGGCCCAGTGGAGTTGGCTGGCTTTTATTCAGCTGTAAGGATGACCTGCAGATGGGCAATTAGAGGATGCGTGTGAGAGCCAGGAGACCTCTTGGGTAGCTTGCTAAGAGTTTCTGCAGTGGAACAGAAGACGCACCTCAGGGCTTGAAGGCTAGAGTTGCAGAGCTCCAGAGATGTTTACGTGCTCAGTCAAGTCAGGGGTTATGCTAAGGTGGATGTCTTGGTTGGGAAAACCTAGAGAATCTTAAAACATAGGATTGGGACGTCTGGGTGAATGGCCCTGAGCAGCTGAGCTCTGCTGAACCCCTGCAGTCTCAAAGCTCGCAGTCTTTGCTGCCCTCCCTAGCAAGAGCTGACATGCTGCCCATGGGAACTCACTGCAGAGGTCTCTCCCTGCAAAGCAAGGAGTGCTGGTCCCAGAGGAGCTGCCCTCACACCTGCTCTGACTGCTGAGTTGATAACAGCCAAACTTGTCTTGAAATGATGCAGCCCGGATGAGCCACACGGGACCCTCAGGCAGGAGCTGGCTGATGAGGATCTGTGGGCACGGGTTTGCCTTTCTTGTCGGCATAGCATCACCCAGCGCCAAGTGACACTGACTTACACCTGACCGGAGGGCTCTCCTCACAGCTACGGAGGTGGAAGGCAGCCCCATGACCATGGAATCCATTGGTTATGTTACATCCCACGTTACCCAGCGACAGCGGCCCCCCAGAGCTCTGGAACAGCCTGCTTCAGGCACTGTCACAGAGCAGCTTGGAGACAACAGCCTGCAAGGACATAGTGTGTGCACTCAATCAGAGCCCTCCTTATGCCAGTGAGTCCTGGGTAGGGGGAACACCTGGGTTGGGGAGCGAGCAAGGGGTGAAAGCAGGCATGGACCCCCTCACATCACTCCTCTTGACCAACTGAAGGAGATCCTACCTCCCGCCTCCGCAGCTCTGGGATCTGCAGGATGGGAGGGCCAAGCCCCTCTGCCACAGCGGTGGCTCCTGTCTTGTTGCTGCGTACTGCTCGTGTCCAGGGACGAGCCGTGAGAATTGGAGCCACCGTCTTGGTGAGGGCATGGCCTTGCCAGCAGGAAAAGAGCTGCTTTTCCACAATGGGACAGGGAAGAATGCACACGGGAGTCAGGCAGCCCCTCTGCCATCCCAAACAACTGCAGCTAGAAATATGCAGCAGCCCTGGCCTGAGAAGGGATGAAAGCTGAGGGCCCACACTGCCCACACCACCAGTTGTGCCCCTGTGATGGGTTGAAGTGTGTTACCCAACAAGATGCATTCGTGTCCTAACCCCTGATGCCTGAGGATGTTATCTGACTCGGAACAGGGTCTTTATAGATGGAATGAAGTTGAGATGAGGCCTCGAGGATGAGCCCTGATCTAAGATGACTGGTGTCCTCATGAGAGGAGGAGAGACAAAGCCATAGACAGAAGACAGAAGAGGCTGGAGTGATGCTGCCACCAAAGGAGGATCCTCCCACAAAGGCATCTGAGGGAGCCTGGCCCTGCTCACACCTTGGTTGCAGGCTTCTGGCCTCCAGGACTGCGAGGGAGTCACTGCTGTTTTAAGCCACCAGCTTGTGGGGCTTTATTATGGCAGCCACAGCAAACTGGTGCAGCCACTAAGACCTGAATAAGTGGCAGCTCCATAGAGGATGGTGGGCTCAGGTGGTCCCCAAGGCCAATGTGTGGCAGGCAGTGGTTGTCCCATTATCCTGTCTCTTCTGTGTTTCCCTTCTGAAAGAGGCTCTCAAGCACTGGGAGTGGTGTCCTCACACACATGCAGGAGGGGTTCTGTGTGGCCATGGAGGGCACCTGCCATGGGGACCCAGGTGACAGATGGCTCCCACTGCAGCCGTCTTGCCAAGACCATGCATCCCCTGGGCTGTCCCCGGCACTGAATGAGCACAGCTGGGCACTGGGACCAGGTCACTTCTGCCAAGCACAGGTATCCTCTACTGCTGGACCTTGGCTCGGGGGTGCGCCCATGCCCCGCTAAGACTTTCTTAGGTGGTGCTGCCACCTGAGCTCTTCCACCCAGTACCCCGTCTCTCTCCTCTGACAGACGCCAGCCTTGCCTGGCTGCTTCCCCTTCATCCTTCACAGACTCCCCCCACCCTAGAACTCTCCCGCTGATGCAATGCTGCCTGAAGACCAGAACTGATATAGGGGAACGTCGCTGTCCTCACATACGTCACAGAAGCATCCCGCTGTCAGCCTCCCATCAAATACCTCGTAAGCATCATAGAGACAGCTCTTCTCTTCTCTCTTCATTTACTCACTCAAGAATACACAAAAATAGCAAACACTCCAGGGCTCAGGACATTAAGAAATGAGCACAACCAGATTAATGAGCTTCTCCCTCCTTCTGAGTTGTCTTGATTAGTTCAGACTATTAGCCAGACGCCACAATGTAATCAGACAACTTCCAACTGGGGCTGACGCAAGAGAGTACTCAGCAACTGTGGGCACAGCCTTCTAGGGTCCTGATTATCTTAGCATAGTGTGTATTAGTTCAGGAAAGTTAAAGCAAACAAAAAGTGAGTGCTAGCACTCAGTTTGCATTTTTAAAATGATCCAAACTTGTGGAGTGGCAGCCAGCAGCCTTCCCCTGAGACAGGCAAACTTAATTGACACAGAAATATCCACAGTCAACTTTTTAGTATTATTTTCTGGTGAAATGTTACTCTACTTGATAAAAATTGTAGTAAAACAGGATTTCCTTTCCCGTCTCTGGTCTTCTAAATCTCACAGGGGAAGACTCTTGTGTGTTTAAGAAGAACATGCTATTTTCTCACTTCCAGCTTGGAAACCATGATGGTAAAAATACCACTTGCAAACCCACGAAAACTCTCTGGGGACTCAAGGGAAGGCCAGGAGACCACAATCATAAATGATAATGCAGAGAAGGACGAAAGGCTTATTATTGTCATTGTGATCGCTGTTATGAAGAACAAATGTTGATATGCAAAGACACAGGTCTAGAGGATTCCAGGAAGTGGGTGGGGCACAAGCCTGGCCTCCCCAGCTTATTACCTTGTCAGGGATGCAGGACACAAGGAGATTCAAAATGCTGCAAATGTACAAGACAGCGGCTTAAAATCAGAATCCCAAAGAGGAAGGCATCTCCCACTTGGACCTGAAGATATGCCAAACAGGATTTGAGTTGAGCCTTCACAAAACAGTAGGAATTTGATAGAGAAATAAGAAAGGACTCCATTCCTGAATCCAGGCAGGGACTGAGCTAAGGCCAGCAGAAGAGGAGAAAGCATGCTTTAGGACACGAAACCCATCAGTTTCAGGGGAGTGAGGGTTCCTGTGTGAGGACACTGGAGTGTCAAGCCAGAAAAGGAAGTGGAAGGGAATCAGGAGTCCCTCAAGCTTTGGACTTCATTTTGTAGGAGATAATGGGATCAAAGTAGAATGTGACATTTCAGGATGGTCAAATTTTAAAATGTACATTTATTTATTTGCTTGTTTACTTATTTGTGTATGTGTCTTTTATTTTTGTGGAAGTGTGCTCATATATTAGGCCGGCTTGCCTGATCAGCTCCCAAGGAAGCCACCAGTTCCATCAGGTGCAGCTGCCCTGTCCACCTACACTCACAAAAACCCTGAGACCAGGAAGAAACCAGGGTCATTTTTTCCCATATGTTCAGAAAGGGACACTGTAAACATGTTCAGTGTTGCTCTAGATGTTCTTGTTTTATGAGACCTACATCTACCTACATTTTCATTCCTTCCTAAACCATAATTTTTATTTATTTACAATCTTGATTCACTTTAGTTTTATTGGTTTTGTTATGTGGATATGTGTGTGTACATGTGTGTTACATATATAAGCATTTTCATATGTGCATATTCAAAATCAAATGCATTAACTGTCTCCTTCTGAGCCTCTTCTTCTTTGGGTACGCACAAAGCCCGGTAATACTTCCCCACTAGTTATGGTGTCATAAATTATGGTGTCATAACTAGTGAAGGCAAATGGGAAAGTATAACTAGTTTCATTAAACTAGTTATACTGAACTAGCATAACTAGTTTCACTAAACTACTTATACTGAACTAGCATAACTGGTTTCACTAAACTACTTATACTGAACTAGCATAACTGGTTTCACCAAACTACTTATACTGAACTAGCATAACTGGTTTCACCAAACTAGTTAGACTGAACTAGCATAACTGGTTTCACCAAACTAGTTAGACTGAACTAGCATAACTGGTTTCACTAAACTAGTTAGACTGAACTAGCATAACTGGTTTCACCAAACTAGTTAGACTGAACTAGCATAACTGGTTTCACTGAACTAGCATAACTAGTTTCACTGAACTAGCATAACTAGTTTCACTAAGCTAGTTATACTGAACTAGCATAACTGGTTTCACTAAACTAGTTAGACTGAACTAGCATAACTGGTTTCACTGAACTACTTATACTGAACTAGCGTAACTGGTTTCACTGAACTACTTATACTGAACTAGCATAACTGGTTTCACTGAACTAGCGTAACTGGTTTCACTGAGCTAGTTATACTGAACTAGCGTAACTGGTTTCACTGAGCTAGTTATACTGAACTAGCGTAACTGGTTTCACTGAGCTAGTTATACTGAACTAGCGTAACTGGTTTCACTGAGCTAGTTATACTGAACTAGCGTAACTGGTTTCACTGAGCTAGTTATACTGAACTAGCGTAACTGGTTTCACTGAGCTAGTTATACTGAACTAGCGTAACTGGTTTCACTGAGCTAGTTATACTGAACTAGCGTAACTGGTTTCACTGAGCTAGTTATACTGAACTAGCGTAACTGGTTTCACTGAGCTAGTTATACTGAACTAGCGTAACTGGTTTCACTGAGCTAGTTATACTGAACTAGCATAACTGGTTAAACTTAAGTGAATTAAGTTTATTGAAACTAGTTATACTTTCCCACCTTTTGCATTCTCCACCTTGCTTTGATGTTGCCCTTCAGGCGGGAATGCTGTACCTGTGTCCTCCCATCACCCACTCCCTCTTTGCATATCTAAATGTGCCTCATCTTTTAAGGATTAACTCAAAAGGCAACTTCCTCATGAAGCTCAACTCTAAACGGAAAGTAATTGTCCCCTCCCCCAAACTCCCTAATCACTAAACACCACCCCTCTGATCATGCTTAAAATTCTGCTTGATGTTATAAACGGTCACATCTACACCATTTCACAGCTACACGCTAAGAGCTCCCAGTGCCACCATGCACCCCGGCATGCACGCTATTCTGCCAGGAAAGTCCCATGAGAGCTTGGGCATTGTTGATTTCCTTTACTGCTGTATCTCATTGTCCATGATAGTTCTTGGCACACTAGGGGCTCAAATATGTTTTTGATTGTGTGAATAAACAATTTAATGAAAGAATAAAGGAGGATTGATATACATTTAATTCAGCTTTACAATCCTCCCAGTAGACAATAGAGTGATTTTTTTTACTTGAGATCCAACAAATCAATAATTTTTGAATGCATAAATTCTTTAATAGAAATATACTTATGCAAATCAAGGCCAAAAGTTTAATTTAGAATTTTCCAATTAATTTATTGCTTCTCTGTTGTGACCTCTGGATGGTAAGCTTGGTTAATACTAAAAAAAAGTCCTGAATACCTCAGAATGGAAAATATTCTCTCTAATCCATTGGCAGCAGACTGTTCTGAGAATTTATTAGACACAAGTAGAAGTCCATTGATAAACCACCTGAATAAGTCTGATGCCTAATAGTTGTGAGAAATATTGTTATAAAAGGAAGACCTTAGTTAGCAAAATCTTCTATTTTGAAAACTAGAAAACCTCCTTTTGCTAACAAATAAGCTTATTCTAATGCAAAATATAGATTGGGACTTCTTACCGTAATGTTTCCCAACCTGGCCTGATCATAAAAATTACCAAAAAAATAAAAAATAAATAAAAAAATAAAGAGTGTGTGAAAAATACAGATTCAGCAAATCAAATTCAGCAATATAGAAAAAGAATTATACACCATGACCAAGTGTAATTCCAGGTATACAAGGCTGGTTCAACATTCAAAAATCAAGAAATATATGTAATCATATCAAAAGGATAAAGAAGAAAACTCTCATAATTATATAGACACAGAAAAAAGCATCTGACAAAATCTAACACCCATTCACAAAATGAAAAAAAAATCTCATAAAACTAATAGAGGGAAACTTTCTTAATTGGATAAAGAGCATTTACAAAAAAATCTATATTTGAGATCATACTTAATGGCAAATGACTGAACAACTTCACCCTGTGATCAAGAGAAGAGCAAGACCTTTGCCCTCACGACACTTATTCAACTTAGGATTTGAAGTTCTAGCCAATATAATAATTAAAGGAAAAGAAATAAAAAGCATACACATTTAAAGGAAAAAAACTAAGTTGTCCCTATTTGCAGATAAAAATTGTTTATATAGAAAATTCAAATGAATCTACCAATTGTCAGAAATTAGAAATTATCAGTGAGTTCAGTAGGGTTGCACAATGCAAGATCAGCCCACAAAAATCAGTTGCATCTCTATATACTAACAACAAATATGTAGAAACCATATTAAAAATACAATCCTATTTTCTCCAAACAAAATTAAATTCTTAGGTATAAACTTTAAAAAATATGCAGGATCTGTGTGCTGAAAATTATGCTAATAAAAGCAATCAAAGAAGGCATAAATCAATAAAAGCGCAAATTATGGTGTGGATTGAAAGACAAAATAGGAAACATGTCAATTCTCTCCAAATTGACCTATAGTTTTAATGCTATTTTTGTCAATTTCCCTTGAAGGACTGTTTGCGGACCCTAGACAAGCTAATTCTAAAATTTATATGGAAAGGCAAAGGCAAAATTTGCAAACACAAATGAAGTAGGAGGAATCATTCTACCAGATTTCAGGGCTTACTGTATAGCTGCAGTAATCAAGACAGTGTGGGGCGTGGCAGGGGCCAGACACATGGATCCATGAAACAGAATAGAGACCCCAGAAATAGACACACACGAATATGTCCAACTGATTTTTGACAACCAACTGATTTTGGCAAAAGAAGAGAAAGCAATCCAGTTGCTATGATTTGCATGTCCCCACCAAGACGCAGGTTGAAATTTAATTGCCATTTTAACAGTATTAAGAGGCACCGTCTTTAAAAGGTGGTTAGGTCATGAGAGCTCTGCCCTCAAGAAGGGATTATTACCTTAACCTCAAGAATGAGTTCGTTATCATGGGAGGGGTTCCTAATAAAAAGGATGAACTCAGCCCACTTCCTTCTCTGTCTCTTTACTCTCCCGTCCTTCTGCTTGAGATAATGCAGCAAGAAGGCCCTTGCCAGATGCTGGCAACATGCTCTTGGACTTCCCAGCCCCCTAAAAGTTTATTTGCTAGCCAAATAAACTTCTTTTCTTTATAAACTCCCCAGTCTGTGGTATTCTGTTACAGCAGCAGAAAACATAGGAAGTCAATAGAAGAAGGATAAAAACCAGTAGAAGAAGGATAGTCTTTTCAGTAACTGACACTGTAACAATTAAATATTACAGGCAAAAAAAAAAAAAACAAATTTAAACCTAAAGTTCACACTTTATACAAAATGTAACTCATAATAGATGATGAGCTTTAAATATAAAATAAAAAACTATAAAACTTTGAAAAAATATGAGAAAATCTCCAGGACCAAAGACCAAAAAAAGAGTTACTCACCTAACACCAAAAGCATGCATTCTAAAAGAAAATTTTAATAAACTGGACCTGATTACCAAAACTCTTGCTCTGTGAAAGGCTTCATTAAGAGGATTACCAGACATGCTACAGACTGGTAAAAATATTTACAAACTGCATATCTGACATAGAACTACTATCTAGAACAGAAAGACCCCTCAAGCCTTAACAGTAAAAATAAACAATGCAATTAGACCATTGGCAAAAGATATTTCACTAAATAGATATTTTAGAGAAGAGAAAATACAGATGGCAAATATGCACTTGAAAAGATGTTCAATATTACTAGCCATTCAGGAAATGCAAATTAAAACCAAAATGAGGTATCACTAGACACCTATCAGAATTAAGAAATAGAAAAAACACCAAATGTTGGCAAGGAGGCAGAGAAACTAGATAACTCATACATACATTGCTGGTGGGAATGTAAAATGCCACAGCCATTCCAGAAATCAGAGTGGCAGTTTCTTAAAAGGGTGAACATGCAACTAACATATGACCCAGCAATAGCATTGTGCAATTATCTTTGATAAATGGCAACTTATGTTCATCCATAGCCCTAACTTGGAAACACTGGAGATATCCTTCTCAAGGTGAATAATTAAACCGACTGTGGTACAACCATACCATAGAATATCACTTGGTAATAAAAATGAATTAATAGGGTTTGGCTGTGTCCCCACCCAAAGCTGATCTTGAATTGTAGTTCCCATAATTCCCACATTTGGTGGGAGGAATCTGGCGGGAGGTAATGGAATCATAGGGGCAGTTTCTCCCTGATAGTAAGCTCTCACAAGATCTGATGGTTTTATAAGAGGCTTCCTTCTTCCCTCAGCTCTTAACTCGTCTCTCTCCTCCTGCCATGTGAAGAAGGACATGTTTGCTTCCCTTTATACCATGACTATAAGCTTCCTGAGGCCTCCCAAGCCATGTGGAACTGTGAGTCAATTAAACCTCTCTCCTTTATAAATTGCCCAGTCTTGGGTATGTCTTCATAGCAAAGTAAGAATGAACTAATACAGGAATGAACTATTAATACATGCAGTGACTTGGGTGAACCTCCAGAGAGTTATGCTAAGTGAAATTAGCCAATCCCAAAAAGTTACATAGGGTGTTATTACATCATAGCACATTCTTGAAATGATGAAATAACAGAGATAGGAAACGGGTTAGCAATTGGCAAGATTAGGGACAGAGGAGGGAAAGAAAGGTGAAAGTGGCTATAAAAAGATCCCAGGAGAGAGCCCTGTGGTAATAGAACAGTTCTGTACCTTGTCTGTGGTGACAGATACACAGATCTCAAAATGTGATAAAATTGCATAGAACTAAATGCACACACACACACACGGTGTGCATATGAAACTGGTGAAATCTGGAAAAGGGCAGTGTGTTGCACCAAGGTCAGTTTCCTGGTTGTGATACTGTACTGTAGTTATATAAGATGTTACCACTGGAGAAACAGGTAAAGGGAATAAAGGACCACTCTGTACTTTCTTGCAACTGAATGTGAATTTACAATTATCTCCAAGATAAAAGTGTAGTAAATACAAATTCACTGGCCCCTTCCCTGGAAGTCAAATTTAATAGGTCTGGAGGGGAGGGAGCCCAGTACTCTGTATAGTTAACAAGCACTCTGGGGGATTCTGATGGCAAGGCAAGTCCCAAGAGCATTGCTGGAGGCTCTCCTAGTTCTTCACTTTAGACTTTCTGGCAGGGCTGTTAAACTTGACCAGGATGCTGAATCTATGGGTTATGACATAAGAATTCTTCACAAGGTCATTTTTACCTCATAAACAAGCATATCAACTTCATTCTAATAAAAGGAAAGTGTTGGCACTATGTCTAATAGCCCAAACCCAGTAAAGGAGAAAAGCAGTCTTTTATTTCACTGAAAGGCTTTTTCGCAGTAGAACCTTAGAAACAACACTATTTCACAGACTTATCGCTGTGGTATATTATGGTATATGGCAAAAAGCTTCAGTATATTTTCTTGAGTTCTATTCCAGGCTGAAAGTTACCAATCACCCCTCATCTACTGGTACCCTGAACTTTGGGAGGAAAGTCTGTCTTTGGAAACACTGCATGAGATTTATACCTTAGGAGCTATGCTTTCACTCATCCACTAAAATCCATACTATGTAGAAACTGTTATGATATTCAAGACATCTGCACACTACATGTCATTAGGTTCAGCACCCTTGTGGAACAGGTTAAGTCTTTTGGTGGAAGCACAAGCTAATGAGGCAAGGTGATGGACAGATTCCCCACAGGGCTGAAAGAGCTTTTCTCAGCAGCACAGCACAGCCTGGACTCCTGACCCAGCCCACATGGCTCAAGAGGAGCCTTGTAGCTTAACCATTTCTGTGTTGTCTCTCCTCTTCCCCTGGATGGGAGCCCCTTGAAGGTAGGGACTGCTGGGGTTCCTCTCTCCATCCCAGTACCCAGGATCCCAGGTAGATGCTCAGTGTTGCTTGTAAATGAGTACAAATGAATACATCAGTTGGAGTACGTGTGGAATAGCAATTCTGAGTATATGCCCAGAGAGCCACTCATAAGGGGAAGACAAGTGACTTACTCTTTATCCATGCAGTAAGCAGAAGCATATTTGTCAGTGTGACCTCATTTACTGTCCCTACAGCAGAAACACTCCTAAGACTCTCCCCCAACAAAACATATTCAGGTTTCTGTCTCAAAAAATTCATATTTTGGGTCAAAAACTATTCTGTTCATGATAGTAGCATGAAAACAGTCATGCTTAAATGTTGATTATTTCATTCTTCACATATGTTTTCAAGCAATCTTAAATAGGCCTTTAAGTAAACATGGTCTCAAAGAATTGATTTCAAATTGTACGATAGGAATTGGAAGAGGAAAATGACAATGGACGTGGCATTTTACAACCTCATCTGCAACAGTTACAGGTCTAAATTCAATAGCGAGTCCCTCTCCATTTGTATATTGTAATGGGTACACCTGAAAAAGGCAGCAAGAAAAAGAAATTAAAGTCTATTAATAACTAACGCATAGGTTTTTAATGTAGGACATGGGCTTTCAGGATCTTACATTAAAAAAACACACTTCCTCAATGCTTCAAATTCTCTAAACTTCTTACATTACAATTTTATTCTATGAAAAGAAACCTTACTTTTAGTACCTGAGTTCTCAAAATATTTTAAAAATTCATACAAATTTCTAAAGAAAGGTATTAAAGAAAAACTGTTTTCTCTGTACAAGAATAAAATCGTAGGCATGTTTCTTTCCAACTTTTCACACTTGCTTTTTATTTTTGTCTTTTGTACTTTTGCCAACAAAGGAGAAGCTCTTTCTGCAACTGCTCGTCTTTCTACTACAACCAGGTTAGCCCTACGGTGCCACTTTTTAAAATATCAACTGACCGGTATTGAGTGCTGATAAGTTGTGCGGTATTGCTTTGACACTACTTCTTCTGCAAAATTAAGCTAATTCTTTAAAAATTAAATATCAAGTGGTTCATAATAGGGTACAATTATTAAAACAAGCAGTTTGTTGATTATTTCTTCCTGCTTCCATGGAAGAATCAAAGTATTCCAAATAGAAAGCTCTAATTCTCATGCCCCTTATGTAAAAAGCTCCTGCGGCCAGTAAAGGGTTACTGACCCAGAACAAACACATTAATAAGCTTTAGTAATTATATTTGGGTCATTTTATTTTAAACCATGAAATCAAAAGCTCTGTTCACATTAGTGCATGAGTTGCTGTAACTAGCCACTGGGACTTCCTTGATACACAAGCCATCTGTGAATGTGCTCAGAATTTTTTCATTCTAGACACAAAAGTTTCATCTGTCTCCTTTTTAACCTACTAGTCATCTTGTTCCCTCTCCAGGGCCATACCCCGACAAAACCTCTCAACATTCCTTTTGCAGATAATTGGGAGATTTCATTGGGATGAACAAAAAGGAAAGAAGCTTCTGATGCGTTGGCATCCACTGTCTTTCAATTAAACCATTCAGCGAGAGGCCAAGGCCTACCCCATCCTGTGCAGTCAGGAATGGCTGGAGCATCGTCGGAAACCGTGGGCGCTGGGCCAGGGATGCCGGGGAATGACATCATTTCATTGTGTTCGCATGACCATGGAAGGCCTGTGTTACACACACCGGATGAAGTCACCAGAATGCTAGGGAACAGAGAAAGCCAGGGGTAAGAATAAAGAAACCCTTGGCAAAGGCTTGGGAGACAGGAAGGTTGAAAAGAGGGGCAGAGAGGAGTCTGTGTTTATTGTCAGTGGTCTGGCATTCTGGGTTTGAAAATAACATCTGCTTCACTCGCTGCCTTCCCTCCACCTACCCACGGGCTCTGGGACCCAGGAACCTCGACGGAGCAGAAACCCGTAGGCGCCATCGCTGGGATATTTGCCAGTTACAGCTCATTTTTCTCCATGTCAGGATACAAAAAAGAGAATGGAAGAAGGGAGCTTGATACACATATATCTTAAAACTCTTATTTTGTCAAAAAAATGTACAGTTTTAGCAGCGGCACTTTTTTAAAAAAGAAATGTTATTTTTCTCACAATCCTTCTTATATTCCTGGAAATATTTTCTATATTCCTCAAAAGGCAAATATTTACTTAACTCAGGTTTTATAAACTGGAAATAGATTGCCTAATAATGAAGAAAATAAGAATATACAAATGTATGAATATGAAATATATATGAGATATTCATATCTATATGGAAGAAGACCAAAAGTGTATTAATAATGAAGCAAATAAGGATGTACATACATATATATATGGAAACAAAAAGTAGATTAATTTTGCAGAGTATAATTTTACCCTTACATACTCCAGTGTGTATTATGCAACAATAGGAAAATCTTTTTCCATAACCACAGTGGAGTTCTCCACTTGAGTCACTTTCACGTTGATACAGCACAGTATCTGATCCACATCTGTATTCCATTTTGCAGTTGCCCGATAACGTCCTTTATAACTTCTGTTCCCTCCAGGACAGGATCCAGCCTAGAGTCAGATACTGCATTTAGTTGTCACGCATCTTCAGTCTCCTTTTATCTAGAACATTTCCTCAGCCTTTTTCTTTTACAACGTTGAAACTGTTGAAGAATATCGTGCCCCTCCCCTTTTGTTAGTAGGCAGGTCCTCACTTTGGGTTTGTCTGTTGCTTCATCGTGATTGGATTCAGGGAGTGCATTCTTAGCTGAAACACTGCAGAGGTGACGGTGCGTCCGGGGAGTTACACCTGGAAGCACGCAGTGCTCCTCTCTTCCTCATCTATGGTGTTAATTTTGATCGCTCAACCAAGGTGTTGTCCAATTTCTCCACCTCATTATTTTTTGAACTGAACAAGCAGATTGTGAGGAGATATTTTGAGCTCCTCGTCAAAATTTCCTCTTAAATTTGCCATCCACTGATGATTCTTGTCTGATCCAATTTTTATTCTAACACACGCAAAACTCCAGCACTGTCTCCACATTTCCCACATGGCCTGCCACTGTGAGGAAGACCTCGCCCTTCTCCCTTATTTGTTTATTTGTTTACCCACTTATTTATCTATTACTGGATTGCTCTTGTGATCTTGGTGCTCAAATGCGCATACGGTGCTGAAATAAATTTATAGTAACTTTGTGCTTTAGTTTTTAAAAATAATTAAATTACATATGTGCACATATATACATATCCACATAAAGTGTGTGTGCATGCACATGCATGCGTGTGTGTGCATGCACATGCATGCATGTGTGTGTGCATCAACCTAAGGGCCACAAAGCAACACAAAAAGAAATTCATATCATGTGACCCACATGCTTAAAAAATTATTAATAACTCACTGGGTCTTATAAATGGCATTCTACCAATTTTGAAAATGTATGTTGGCATAAGCAAAACACATTGAGATTATTACCAACCTAAACAATCCCTAGTCTGCACAAAATACAAAGAACTGTGGTAAAATGAAATGGCGACTAGTCCATCTTCCACTGTGGGCCATGGAGGACGCTTCTGGGAAAGACATTAAAATCTCCATAATTATTATTTAACATGTATTCGGCACCATAAACGTACACAGAGAAGTGTGATAAATGAAGCTGTGCCCCATCAGTAACAGTGTCTGCCCTGAGGAGTTGAGAGCCTGGAAAGATGGCATTCATACGCCTAATTGGGCAGTCCTGCACCCTAGGGAGAAATATCTTCTTGAAAGGATATGTTGCTTTCATGATACATTTAGGAGCCTATAGGTGAATTATATAAATTACTCCTTTTATAAATTACTCTTCAACATGATTATTGAAATAGCATAAATAAAAAAGAAATTTACCAACACAGCCTAGTGAGAAAGGTAATCTGTGTTATCAAGTAACCCTCAGAGGTTTAAAACTGCCAAACTGAACCCCTTCGCCTGCTCCTGTACCCCAAGGGCAGGCTGAGTTAACAAACCCTGTTGATTTATGTATCCAGCTGCAGAGAGGCCAAATCTCTGCTTTCCCCTGTGCTCCACATTAATGAACAGGGATGGAGCAGTGAGATGAAAATCAGGAATTGGAAGCACACCAGTGACTGAGTAAACTTAGGTGAATGTGCGACCCTTCCTGAGCCTGTCTCTGAAACACTACCAGTAGCCCTCAGCCCCTCTCTGTATCAAAACTTGATTTATGTGAATAGCTCAAGTCTGCCTTTTCTATATAATTTGAAAAGCATGCGTACTTAATAAAGTTTTGGGAATTTCATTCGGAACATCATCCCAAAACTTTGGTAACGCTTGGCTTTTACCCCATTTACTTTAATATAAGGAAGAGAACCGCTTAATACTAAGAACCACTTAATAATAATCTCTTTCCATAGTACCTATTTTCAGTAAAACAAACAAAATAAAAAACAGAAACGCTGTCATATAAACTTCCTATTTCTCTCACTTTTTAACATATTCAAGATAAAGCTAGACACTCTGGAGATGCCTAATAACACTCGATTTGGGATATCCGCCAAGATGTGCAGCCTTAGAGGGCCAGCTTTACTTTTAACATTTGCACGATGCCTCCCTTGGGAAATTTTTCACCTCTCACAGCCCTCTCCTTGGCCTACCCTCTCTCTCAAACCTGACATCATCCTCACTCCAAACTTTTAACAGCTTGGAATTTTGTTTGGGGAAAGAAGAAGAGCTGAACGTCTCTGCCTTGACTTAAGCAGGAATTTGGAGTTTGTAGGCGTTTACCCTTTTAACAGTGAAGCACCAGCAAGCACCAAAATCTACAGTATTTCCTTCTATATGAACCATTTTTTAGGGAAGCCAACCTCCTTCAATTTGTTTTCTTTAAAGGAAAGGGAAGTAACAAAAAGACATATTATCCCAATCTGTGGTAAAAAATACACAGGGACATTGGCTTTCATGTTTCTGGACTTCTCAGTTCTCTCTTATTCTAACTTTATCCTTGGATATGGGACATGCTGTTGAATCTCTTAAGGAAGTGTGTCAGGAGAAAACTCAGAGAGGGTCATGGAGGTACCCCTGGCCCTAACCAAGCTACAAGAACTGTTTCCTTTTATCTTCTAAATCTTTCTTACTTTAAAAAGAAGGATTAAAAACTCTCTCTTCACTTGGTTTTCCAGCAAGAAAACTTTTTCTCCTATAAAACAAATAAACTTCCTACTACTTTTTCCATTATACCTATTGGCTTTATATCATATGTATCGTGTACATATGTATCATATATATCATGTAAAACATGATGTTTTGAAACATATACATTGTGGAGTGACTAAATCTACATAATTAACATCCATTACCTCACATAATTATGACTTTCGTGATAAGAACATTTTACATCTACTCTCTTAGCATTGTTCAAGAACACAATATATTACTATTAACTATAGTCACCATGTTGTATAGATCTCCTGAACTGATTCCTTCTGTCTAACTAAGCTTTTGTACCCTCTGACCGACATCTCCGTGACATCCCCTACAAATCACCCCAACCTCTGGTAACCAGCATTATACTCTCTGCTTCTATAAATTCAACCTTTTCAGATTTCACATATGAATGAGATCATATGGCATTTATCTTTCTGTGCTTGACTTACTTCACTTAACATAATATCCGTCAGCTTTATTTACGTTGTCACAAATGACAGAATTTCCTTCTCTTTCAAGGCTGAATAGTATTTCCTTGTGCATATATAAGAAAATACAGAAAATGTTTTCCTATATTTAAGCAAAAATACATGTAAGAATATATGAATATATGTAAGAAAGTGTAGCACATTTTTTTTAACCGTTTCTCTATTGATGGACACTTAGGTTGATTCCATATCTTGGCTATTGTGACTAGTGCTGCAATGAACATAGGAATGCCGACATCTCTTCCACATACTGACTTCATTCCCTTTGGCTCTACACCCAGTAGTGTCATTGCTGGATCACAGGTGGTTCTGTTGTCCATAATGGCTGTTCTAATTTGTATTCCCACCAACAATGCACAAGGGTTCCCTTTTCTCATATTCTCACCTACACTTGTTATCTTTTGTCTTCTTGATAATAGCCATCCTAACAGGTGTAAAGTGATATCTCACTGAGTTTTTAAATTTGTGTTTCCCTGATGATTAGTGATGCTGAGGACTTTTTCATATACCTGTTAGCCATTTGCATGTCCTTTTTGGAGAAATGTCTATTCAGGTCCTTTGCTCATGTTTTTGTTGGGCTATTTTTTTCTGTCTTTTCAGTTGAGTTCCTTGTATGTTTTGGATCTTAACGCTTTGTCAGATGTAGAGTTTAAAAATATTTTCTCCCATCCCATGCATGGGCTGTCTCTTTGGTCTGTTAATTGTTTCCCTTGCTATGCAGAAGATTTTTAGTTTGATATAATTCCACTTGTCTATTTTTGCTTTTGTTGCCTGTGTTTTTGGGGTCATATCCAAAAGAGTATTGCCCAGACTAATGTCAGGGAGTGTCTCCCCATGTTTTCTTCTGGTAGCTTCATAGTTTTAGGTCTTGCATTTAAGGTTTTCACACATTTTGAGTTGATTTTTGCATATGGTATGTGATAAGGGTCTCATTTCATTCTTCTATTATGGATATCCATTTTTCTCAACACCATTTATTGAAGAGACTATCCTTTTCTCATTGCATGTTCTTGGCTCCTTTGTGCTTTGTAGTATATTTTTAAAGATGGTGGTGCAGTGCCTACAGCTTTGTTCTTATTTTTCAGGATGGCTTTGGCTATTCAGGGTCTTTTGTAGTTTCATACAAATTTTAGGAGTGTTTTTTCTACTTCTGTGAAGCCTATTTGCTTAGAATATTTCTTCTCATCAAACAGCATCATTAAGTGCTTAGTGGATACTGTTAGAAAAATCCTTCAATTATGAAAATCACCATGTATACATGGCTGTTTAAAAAGCATAATTTATGTGCATTTATAGAACAAAATCCAAAAAGAAATAATTGAAAGAACAGTTGTTTTTACCTTCTCCCACACATAAACTCAACCCCTTAGGAAATATTAGCATAGAACAACTTTTCTTGGAATCTAGAGTTTAAGGCTCTTCAATAATTTTAAAAGAAACAAAATATATATCAGAAATATAAAATATGATAACTGGGAACTTTATAGGCTATAGTTTCTAGTCCTTAAGTAATAAAATATTATAGTGAGTATAAGAATGAAAATAAATATCTCAATGAAAAATTTCAAGCCAATATTCAAAATATATCACTTATGACTATTTTATATTTAAATGCCCATGATATTCTAAATTTTTTTATTAAAATGTTAAGTTGGAGCTGCATTTCTAGCAGACAAGATACCGTGGGTGACCCTGCCTTCTTTATTGAGACAACTAAAATGCTGGAAGAGAGAGAGATGAGAGATAGACGGTAATATTGCACCGCATTTTTGAGTTGGCACAGAAGGAATCTCAGAGGTCCAAATGAAAATGAAAGCAGGAACCTGGGAAATAAGCAAGAACTGCCAGAACAAAAGTTGCCTTTTGTCTGGGGATTTCATCCAAGCCTTAGAGGCCTTGAGCTTCTGCTTTGATGTGAAACCAGAGATAAAATCTAGGCCTGCCCAACATGAGGAATCTCACAGGATGCCTTCCCATATAAAGCTGGGATAGAGAATGAATAAAGCCACTCTTCAAAAGGGAATTGATGGCCTCAGGTTTGGCACTGTTTGCATGCGGGGAATATGTGTAGCCCAAAGTCTGGTAGAGCACCAGGCAACTAGCAGAAGCAGATCAGAATTGTCCCCAGTTCAGGGGACCCAGGAATAAAAATATTCCTGCATGAAATCCCAAAGAAAATGAGTAGTTGACAATTAAACAAGCATAAAACACAGAAGGAAACAAACACAGCATGCATGAGTGCCAGTCATAACAGGAGATAGCAGAAGGAAGTCCGTAAGGGTTACAAAACAGCAATGATCAGAATACACATGTATTACATTTCACATGTTTAAGCAAAGAAAAGCCTAGAAATAGTAGAAAGTAGAACGAGTTTACTTAGAAACATGAAAATTTGAAAAAGAATGACATCATAATTTTATCTTCTACAAATGATATGAAAATAAGTTAATGAATTAAACATCAGGTTGGAGAAAGTTAAGGAAAAAATTAGCGAATTGGCAAACAGAGCTGAAGAAGTCATCCAGAATGCAGCACAGATGAAAAAGAGAGGAGAAATACGATAGAGAGATTGTGCCACCGAAAGAAAGTGGAACACTTTAACATTTGTCTAACTATAGTTCCAGAAGGAGAAAATAAATATAAAGGATAAGAATCAATGTTCAAAGGACAGTGATAATGGCTGGACATTTTCCAGAATTGCTGAAATGTACCAATTCTTACAGCCAAGGAGCCCAATGTCAATCAACATTCATGTCAATCACATAAATAAAAATCACAGCTGTGAAACTGCAGAATAGTAAAGAACCAAGGAGGAAAGACAGATCACCAGGAAGAAACAGGATGATGACTTCTCAACAGTAAAAAAGAATCCATAAGGCAATGTAATTAATATCTTCAAAGTGCTGATGAAAAATAATAGTCAATCGAGACTTCCATATCTTTCAAGAATGACAGCAAAATAAAGATACATTCAGACAAGTCAAAATTGAGTTTGTTCCAGAAGTCTCTCACTAAAGAAAATTCTCAAGGATTTATGTGAGGGAAAAGGAAAGAGACTTCAGTTGGGATGTCTGAGAAGCAAAACAGAATGGTCACAACCAGAATCTAAAACACCGCTGCAGGCCAGCAGTCATAGAGTTATTCTGAGCATTAAACGTGAAGAGCTGAAGTGCCCTATATATATGTGTTAGTATGAGGAACAGAAAGGAACTTCTTAAACCTGTTAAAAGCCCTCTACAAATCCAAAAGCAGTGTGTCAATAGCCAAATTCCTGTTGTTCCTATTCAAACCTGAAACCTTCCCCATCTCAGTGGGCCAGCTGGCAACTTCAGCCTTCCTTTGTTCAGTAATTCTTAACTCCTCTCTGCCTCTTACATCTGACATTCTAACTCTCAGGAAATCTCATTAACTGTGTATTCAGAAAGTATCAAGATCTGAGCCCCTCCAGATCACCACGTTCAGAGTCGCAACCATGTCTCACTTAGAGGGTTGGAGCTTCCTGGATGGCTTCTCTGTGTCTGTGTTGGGTGGCCTTGTTCTACCTAATGACCTAATTTAAAATTTGCAATATCTCCCCAGACCTGAGCCACCTTTCTCTGCACTGTTCCCCCAATGACAAGCACCACCTTCTAGAATGCTATATAATATAGTTACATGTTATACTGATTGCTTATTTTCTCTCTTCACGCCTACCTTTGTAAAATGTAAGCTTTATGAAGTATGAGATTTCTGCTGGCTTTTGTTTTGCTGGTTTTTTACTGGCATATGCTGAGCCATGTCTGACTATGTGTTGAATGAGTGAAAAGTTACAAGTATCTTTCATAAGATCAGGACCAAAATAAGCAAATGTAGTAAAGTACACTAACAAAATGTTACAATGTAAAACTGGAATAAAATAAACCAAATTGTCATTATTTTTAGAAAATACGATCATCTATAAAGAAATCTTAAGTAGTCAACAGATAAAATATTACAATCTCAGTAATAAGAGAATTTGGCAAAATTATGAATACAAAATCAATATACAGAGGTATAATTGCGTTTCTATTCTACAACAGAGTTATTTAAATAATTAAAGACACCATTTAAATAGAAAAGAAACATATATAACCTTAGAATTAACTTAGAATATTTTAAGCATTCTATTAAAATAATATCTCACCAAAGATGTGTAAGACATTTAAAAGCAGATATTAAAGAAGATCTAAGTAAAATGAGAGTTACATCAAATTTTTGAATTTGAACATATATCAATTCTTCAGAAACTGTTCTATCAATTCAGTCTAATTCCAATACATTTCTCAGCTGTTTTTCACAAACATCTAAACATAAAAATATTTAGAAACATTTAGCTATTTCTAAAATTTAGAAGAAAATATAAATGACCAAGGATTGCCAAAGCTCTCTTGAAGAACAAGGTAGAAGTAATTGCCCTACTGGATATCAAAGCTTATTATAAAGTAATGGTAATAAAGTTATAAATATTTAAGCAAGTAATAGTAACCAAAGTGTATTGTAAAGTGGTAGTAATTAAAACAGTGTGACATTAAGACCAAGGTGAACATTCAGGGAGCCCAGAAAGAGATCCACATATATGCAGATGATATATGACAGAGCGTGCATGGCAGATGAGTGGGGAAAGAATGAAGTCTATAGTAAGTGGTATTCATATGGAAAATATTGACATTTCTATTAACCTCTTCAGAAAAAATGTAAGAAAATCCTATGACCTATAAGCGAAAGGATTTCTTAAATAAGACCCCAAAAAACAGAATGGATAATTATACAAGATGGATAATTGTAACTACATTAAAACGAAAAAGTTTCTATTTCTCAAAAGATACCATAAAGTGAAATGGCAAGCCACACACTGAGAGACAATATTTTCACCACTTAAAATGGATGAAGGATTAGTATACAAAGTATGTGTGTGTGCACACGTGTGTGTATATAGATATAGTTTACTAATCACAAGAAAAAGACAAACAACTCGATGGAAAAATTGGCCCCCAAAGAGGGCTTAAATGACAGAAAACAAAAAAAAAAGACAGAAATAGACACAGGAATGGCCCACAAAAATCTGAAATGAGGCTCAACAGCATGGAATAAACTTATTTTCCATGGGTTTCCGTTTGATTCCATGCCTTTCCTTAGAAATCCAAGATAACATACTGATCTCTCCACATATCCACAAATTAAACACAAATGGAAATATCTGTTGAGTCCCCTGTTACCTTTTTGTATTTTTTGTAGCATTTACTAAAACAAAGCTTTGTATGACATGAGAACAGTATGTATCAGAAAAATGAAAATTAAATCCACAATTTAAAATCTACTTTACTACTACCAAATTAGCAAAAATTTAAGTCTAGTGATATCCAATGTTGGTAAGGAAGTAGAACAATGAGAACAAATACATGCCAGTGACAGGGGAAACTGGTGCAAATGCATTGAAGTACACTTTGGTATTCCCTTGCAAAGCTGGACATCGGAATACCTATAACTAAGCAAACCCCCAGAGAAAATATTGCTCATGTATACCAGGAGGTGTATGAGGATGTTTAGAGTAGCACCGTTCATAATAACAAAGAGAAGTAATGACTTGGAATACCTAGCCATAGTAGCACTGACAAATCAATTGCAAAATATCTTTAAAGTGGAACGCTAAAGAGCAGTGAAAATAAATTAACTAATAAATTAACTAGAGCACTGTGGTTCATTCTATATACATAGATTATTATACCATTAGAAAAACAAAGGAATGATTAATGTAAAACTCAGGAAAATGGATAACTCTATAGAGAATGCAGTCAGAAAGGGACATAAAGGGATCAGTAAAATAATAATGGTCTATTTTATATGCTGAATGCTAACTTAGTACAAGGAATGTTTTAACTCTACATAATTTACTTATGTGCACATTTTGTTTCTCACAGCAGCATGGAATAAGCTTATTTTCCCATGGGTTTCTGTTTGATTCTATGCCTTTCCTTAGAAACCCGAGATAACATATCTCTGCACACATCCACAAATTAAATACAAGTGGAAGTATCTACTGAGTCCATCTTTGGCTTTTTGTAATTTTTGTGTAGCATTTACTAAAGCAAAGTTTTATGTGATATGAGAACAAATGTTGGATTCCAATTGTAAAAACCCTATCAGAAGCAAAATAGGCAACTAGAGATGAACATGGAGCATGAGTGGTTTTCCAAGGAAAATGTCAGTCTTATCGTTCTAATTACAAGAAGCCAGTGCTACTGTGTAAATCTGATTTACACAAACTGGACTTCAATTAAAATTCCAGTTTTGCAAATTCAGGACACTAATTCTCAAATGCCAATATAAATAGGTTAAAAAGATAAAAACATGAACACACAACGTGGGCAAGCATGTATAAAATACATAAAATGAAGATATGTTTTAATGTTTACTTTATGCAAGAATGCTGCTCTCGTAAGTTATATGTGCTCCATAAAGTATTTAAATTACCCGGGCATGATAGAGGGTACCTGTAATCCCAGCTACTCAGGAGGCTGAGGCAAGAGAATTGCTTGAATCCGGGAGGCGGAGGTTTCAGTGAGCTGAGATCACACCACTGCACTCCAGCCTGGGCAACACAGTGAGAGTCCATCCCAGAAAAAAAAAAAAAAAAATTACAGGGCACAATTAACAAGTCTATATTTTTTAGCCAACTACAACAATTCTGCTTCACTATTAATTAATAAAAGTTACAAGTAATTTTAGCATTCACAAGCAGTCTCTAAAGTAACACTGGAATTTTACAAGTCACATAAAATGGCACTAATATTAATTCTACCAAATATTTTACTTGCAAATCAATTTACCCATGTTCTCCTAGAGCAAGTGGCATAATGTAGTTGCAAATTGTATTACAAATAGATTGTCTTGAAATGATCACTTTCAATTCCATGCCCCCAACTAAACAATCTTGAGATGTTTGCATTCGATTATTTGGAAAATAACAATTATAACATGTCCTGAGGGACCAGTAATCTAGCAAATTAAATCCAGTGAAATATAAATTCGTCACCATTATCTTTTAATATTGGCGAACTAGATAAGGGGAAACAAAAGCTATTACTAAACAGATAAATGAATAAGCCCAGACATGTTGTTAACCCTCAACTATGATCACCCCCATGTGTGTGGGGCCATTGCCCAAGCCCCCTTATTATTCTAAAGCAAAGAATTAATGAGGTTTGTAGTAAATAGGGTCTGACCCTGAATAAAACAATCTTATTTTCAGCTTCAACCTCGCAATATAGCGCTTCCTAAATATGCTTTCGGGTTCACTAAACTTTGTTATCCTTGCTCAGACTAAAGTGACTCAGGAGGCAGAGGGAAATGGCTTGATTCTCTAAACTGTGAAATCAAAGTAAAGTCTTTGTCATCTCAGGAGCTCATGCTTCCAGTGTCTCCTCTCCAAGCCTGTGCCAAGGTAAACGGGCAAGTAAGTATGTTATGCAGCCACAAACCAAACAAACTAATCCAAATTTCTGGAACGTACCAAATCTAGATTATTTTGAGATTATCTCATAGAACCATGGGTCAACATCACCTGACTGATGAAAGTAAGGAGTATTCTGAATGTCAGGCACCCCAGAAGCGATCTAATGTGGGGCAGGAAATCAGCAGGCATGCCAGGAGAAAGTCGGCCTCCTACCGTAACGCAGGCAGGGAGGGAGGGGTATTTAAGCTGAACCTGAGGCCAGCAGGGCATGGGATGGTTCTGTCGTGCAGGAGGACTTCCTTGGCTGTCGCATGACAAGCCACAAGCTGGCAGCAGAACAAAGCACCATCCTCTCTACAGGAAAGCAACAACGGTGTTGCCTAAGAAGGGTCCCATTCCTGGGGCCACCAGCATCCCAGGTAAAGGTGCCTGGTAAATTCAGGGGGAGCATAAGAAACGCAGGATGAGCTCTGGAAAACAGACCGTCAGTGGCAAGCCCGTGGCTCATATGGAAGTATCAGCAAGGCTTGCCAGCCATGTTTCCACACCCAAGAAAGTGACCATCATCAACAGTAAAGGCCACAGCTTGACATCAAGACAAGGTGGCTGAAGGTGGGCTGAGCAAAACTGTTGAAAATGTGATTGGGAGGGAGCACTGCTTATTCCCTGGAACTCTCAGGAACACGTAAGGGACACTTTGTGGTGGAGTGCCTATGAACTACCTTCTAAGAAAGAAATCAGTGGGACTTTATACATTAGTAAGCTTCGTCTAAAAAAAAAAGGGAATGTAAACTCTACTTTTGATTTATAGTAGGTGCGTTTAGGCTACATGGGGAAAACAAAACTCACCTTACAGGCTGGAGGCAAGGGTCATATAAGACATGTTGAAGGCATCGGGTGTCTACTAGGCTTTCAAAGATTGGTTGCCAATTTCAATCCTCACGCATTTCTTCTTTTCTGAAATTACACATTTTCACAATTTTCAGGAAAGGAGGAATTAAGTATTCCTGTTTTATTCTAGAGGATACTATGATTAGGGCCTCAGTAAGCTACCTGGTAAAATTCTCTCTAAAACTCAAGGATACTTGAAGCACCTTGAGAAGAAGCTAAAATATTGTCTTCTAATACCATCAGTACTTACTTGCATTCATCATTTTATTAGTTGTCTATAAGGAACACTTACATGTTAATCATATTAACACTTTGAATGGCATATAAGAAGCAATATTTTCCATGACTTCAAATAAATTCTTATACATTAGCATAAGGCCACACCTCAGAGGGAAGTTGTCTCGTAAAAAGTGAGACATTGGTTGGCAAGTAAATAGAATTTGCAGGGTGGCTAATGTTGGACTGTTTTTCAGCAGGGGAAGAGAAAGAATAGAGATGCCCTTAAAATAAACCATATGGGTCTCAAACTATTCATGCCACGAATCAGGTCAGTCATATTTCAACCTCCTCCCTCAAGCTTATCTCAGTGCAACTTAAGGAAGAAATGGAAAGTACATTTCCACCAGAATGCATGTCTTATGGAGGGGCAGGGGAGAAGGCAATTTCATAACAGTTTCAAACTAAAGTAGTACCCCAAAGCCAGTGATGTATTCTGGCCCAGACTTGACAGGTTATTTTACCTGACCAAGCCTTATTGTTCCTCTGGAACAATAAGCATATTTTCACACATTCTATTTTTATTTCTCACCAAATGTGTCAAGACTTGGTTTCTATTAATTAAATTTGTATATAATTGTAGATATGCATGCAGTTGTAAGAAACAATACAGGGAGATCCAATATACCCTTTGCCCAATTCCCCCAGTGGTAACACCTTGCAGATATTGACAATGATACAGTCAAGATACAGAACATTTCCATCACCACAAACATCCCTTATGTTGAACTTTTAAAGCCACACTCACTGCCCTCTCCCTCTCCTCTGTCCTTAGCTCCTGGCAACCACACTTGTGTCTCTCTGTTTTGATAATTTTGTTATTTCAAGAATGTTTTATAAATGGTACTAGATAGTATACAACTTTTTGAGATTGATTTCATTTTCTCAACATAATTTTCTGAAGAGTCATCAAGGTTGTTGCATGTATCAATATACTAACATGCATGTATTAACAGCTTATTCCTTTTCATTGTTGAGTAGTATTCCATGTTTTGGACATAGCAAGGCTTGTTTAAACATTCACTAATTTAAAAATATCTTATTTGTTTCCCATTTGAGGCTGTTATGAATAAAGCTACAATTAAGATTTGTGTACAAATTTTATGTGAACATAAACCTTCATTCTTTTTGGATAACTGTTGGGTCACATGGTGCTTGTATGTTTAGTTATTTAAGAAACTGCCAAATTCTTTTCCAAAGTGGCTGAAACATTTTACATTACCATCAGAAATGTAGGAGTGATCCATTTGTCTGCATCCTTGCAAGTATTTGGTGGTGTCATTATTTTTAATTTCAGCTATTCTGATAGGCATTCAGAGATATCTGATTTTGGTTTTAATTTACATTTCCCTAATAGCTAGTGATGTTAAACATACTTTTACATGCGTGTTTGCTATCTGCATTTCCTCTTCAGTGACATGTCTAGGTCCTAATTGTATTGTTTTACTTTCCTATGGAGTTTTAATAGTTCCTTATATATTCTTAAGATCAGTCCTTTGTTAGATTCTCAGTCTGAAAATATTTTCTGTAATGTTTCATCCTCTTAATAAGGTCTTTGGAAGAGCAAAAGTTCTTTAGTTTAATGGAGTCAAATTTACCAATTTTGCCCTTTATGGATACTCCATTTGGTGTCAAGTCTAAGAATACTTTACCTAGCCCTAGATCATGGAGATTCTGTTTTTTTCTAAATACTTTGTAATTTTTTCATTTTATATTTAAGTCTGTGATCTATTTTGAGTTAATTTTTGTATATAGTGTAAGGTTTAGGTCAAGATGCATTTTTTTTTTTTTTGGCCTGTGGATATCCAAACACTCCAGTAAGTTGACAATTTAGATGAAATGGACAAATTCTTTGAGATGCGACTATCAAAACTTCACACAAGGAGAAATAGAAAACCTAAGTAGCACTCTATCTACTAAACAAATTGAATTCATAATTGAAAGCCTTTCCACAAAGAAATCCCCAGGCCCATATTGCCTTACTGTGAAATTCTACCAATTTTTTAAAGAAGAAATAATACCAGTTTTATTTAAGCTCTCCCAGAAAAATTCCAGAGGAACGAATACTTCCCAACCCAGTCAGTGAAGCCACCATTACCCTCATATTAAAACCAGACAGGGGAGTGTTGTTCAATGGACATAAAGTTTCAGTTGCGTGACATGAATAAGTTCTAGAGATCTGCTCTACAATAGAGTGCCTGTAAGTTGACAGCACTGTATTGTGCACTTAAGTTTTTAAGTGTTTTTACCACAAAAAAACAACAAAACAAAGGCAGAGGAGGAAGTTTCTAGAGGTGCTGGATATGTCTCTTCCCTTGATTGTGGTGGTTCCACAGTTGTATACATATATCCAAACTCATCAAATTGTATACATTAAATATGTACAGTTTTGTATATATCAAATATAGATCAATACAAAGCTGTTTAAAAAAAGACATTACAACAAATGAAAACTACAGACCAATATAACACATAGACATACATGAAAAAATAATTGTTAACAATTTTAGAAAATTGAATCCAACAATGTATCAAAAGCATAATGCATTATGACCACTTCGGATTTAGCTGAGTAATATGAGATTGGTGTAATATTTAAAAAATCAATGAATGTAATTTATTACATTAATAAACTGAAAAAAAGTATATGATCATCCCAATCAATGCAGAAAAAGCAAGCACTTGACAAAATCCGACAACCATTACTGATGAAGTAAATGTCAGCAAACTAGAAATTGAAGGAAACGTCTTCAGCTGGATAAGCAGCATCTACAAAACAAAACAAAAACCCACAACTATAAACAGCATCATACCTAGGGGTGAGAGGTTGAAGATCAGGAGCAAGTCACAGATATTTCCTTCTCACCATTTTTGTTCAACATGGGGTTGCAGGTTCTAATCGATGAAATGAAACTACTGGATTTCAGGACAGTGTGGCATTGGGAACAAGATAGCAAACAGGTCATAGAACAAGACAGAAATGGAATGAGACCCACACATGTACAGTCAATTGATTTTCAACAAATGTGCAGAGTGTATCAGTCAGGGTTCTCCAGGGGGACTGAAATAATAAGATAGATATATATACAAAGGGGAGTTTATTAAGGAGTATTGACTCACACAATTACAAGGTGAGGTCCCACAATAGGCTGTGTCTGCAAGCTGAGGAGCAAGGAAGCCAGCCCAAGTCCCAAAATCTCAAAAGTAGGGAAGCCAACACTGCAGCCTTCAGTCTACGGTCAAAGGTCCAAGAGTCCCAAAGCTGAAGAACTTGGAGTCTGATGTTCCAGGGCAGAAAGCATCCAGCACAGGGGAATGATGGAGGCCAGAAGACTAAGCTGCCTAGTCCTTCCACGTTCTTCTGCCTGCTTTGTATTCTGGCCACGCTGGCGGCTGATTAGATTGTGCCCACCCAGATTGAGGGTGAGTCTGCCTTTCCCAGTCCACTGACTTAAATCTTAATCTCCTTTGGCAACACCCTCACAGACACACCCAGGAACAATTCTTTGCATCCTTCAATGCAGTCAAGTTGACACTCAGTATTAACCATCACACAGAGTAATATTAGGTTTATAAAATTAGTTAGAAAGTATTCTTTCTTCATCAGTTTTCTAGAAGAGTCTGTGTAGAACTCTTCTTCAGTGGAACCAACTGAGCTTGCAGCTCTCTTTTTGGGGAGAGTTTTTCAATCATGTATTCAATTGTATTAATAATTATAGTCCTATTCAGAGTAACTATTTCATATTGGGTGAGTTATGATAGTGTGTGTGTTATTTCAAGGATTTGGTTCAACTCATCTAAGTTTTGTGTGTGTAAAGCTGTTCATAGTGTTCTATTATTAGCCTGTTGATTTCTGCAGGGTTGGTAGTGATATCCCCAGTTTTATTTCAGATATAAACAATTTGTGCCTTCTCTTTTTCCCTTTGTCAGATTTACTAGATGTTTGTCAATTATATTGATATTTCTGAAGGCCAGCTTTTTTTTCATCGATTTTCTCTATTATTTCTGTTTTCAATATCATTGATTCATGCTGTTAACATTAGTAATTGTTTTCTATTGATTGCATTGGGGCTTTTTTCTATTTATTTTGAATTGTTGAGGTAGGATATTAGATGACTGAATTGCTGTGAATTTTTCTGTCAACAATGCTTTGACTGAGAGAAGAAAAATGTTCTATATTTATTTTATTAAGTTTGATATATTTTTAAATTTGTCCTCAAGATTCTCTCTTTGACCTGTAGATTTAGAAAGGTGTTACTCAGGTTCCAAGTGTTTGCAAAGGTTATTATTATTTTCCTGATAACATTTCTAGTTTGATTCCACTGTGATACTTTCAGTTTCAGATCTGACATGGAAACAGGTTGGAAGTCATCACTGCTATCTACACAATTAAAAAAAAAAACTGAAAATCAGTGAATTTTCTTGAACACATCAGAAAACTGAGTTCACAGGGCAAACTATACCGTCCTAGAACTTGAAGGAACAGACAGATCCAGAGAGTTCCAGCCAGGATCTGCTGACATGGAACAAAACCTGCTTTTGTCCTAAACTGGTAGGAACATCTAAATTGTAATTTTGTTGGGAGGCCGAGGCAGGTGGATCATCTGAGGTCAGGAGTTCAAGACCAGCCTGGCCAACATGGTGAAACCCCATCTCTACTAAAAATATAAAAACTAGCCAGGCGTGGTGGCACGCGCCTGTAATCCCAGCTACTCGGGAGGCTGAGGCAGGATAATTGCTTGAATCCAGGAGGCAGAGGTTGCAGTGAGCCGAGATCACGCCACTGCACTCCAGCCTGGGCAGCAGGGCGAGACTGTCTCAAAAAAAAAAAATTGTAATTTTGATGAGCTACGAGAGGCTGTGTATGGAGTGGCCTGAGAATGAGAAAGTCAGGAGAGTGTGTTCCTAGGGGAGGGCCACACTTTCACATTTTGCCTTCAGGAGCCTCACCACGTTCTCATCGTGAGTCCCGAAGGTTCCCTCCTGGCTCTGGCCCTGGGAGGGGAAACGTAACCATTATGAAATATGGCAGAGCATTCTCTACAACAAAGGCCTGCCGTGCAGAGTGTTCTCTACAACAAAGACCTGCTCTCCAGGGTAAAAGTCTACCTGAGCCTCATCAACCTTGGGAAAGAGCATCTCCCAGACACTCGTCCTGTGAGTCACCCTATATTACCTGGAGGTGGGGACACGTCTGCTAGAGACCTAGATGGAATCATGAGATGACAGCACACTTCCCCTCCCACCCACTCCACCCCCATTCCAACAGTGCTCTGGCAACAACCGTGAATCAGGAAGAGTTCTCAGGGAAACCCAAAGACAACAGGAGAGATGAAAATGAGAACATCTGAAGCCTCCCAAATATGTTCTCTTAGCTTTAGACATGTTGCCCCTAAGCAATTTGAACATCCTTTCTTCTCGTCTATCTGGCTAGCTCTTCATTATTATTCAGGGCACATTTGATTTCAAGACACACATGTGAATATAAGCCTTTCTGAACTGTGCCACACAACTGTATGAATCTCTGATCTCCAAGAGGGTCCAAGGGCCTCCCTGTGTGCTCCCTCAGCATCTAGTACCTACCCCCGATCTGCATTTTCATGCTCTCAATTGCCATTACTTGGTCTTTTTTGTCTCTAACCATAAGCTGACTAAAACAAGGGACTCTCATGGGTTCTATTGTATTGTTAGTTCTTCCCACTCACAGTTCCTGGCACATAATAGGGCTTCAGTAAAATAGATTGCATTCAGTGGAACATAATGCAATCTATTTCATTGCATTTCTCAATTCAATTCTGTGTATGACAATTTATTTCAATTAGGATTGGAATAGAAACACATAGATAAAATGAGAGAAAAAATAGTTTCCACAAAGGAGAAGAGGGGGCTCTTATCAGAAAAGAAAAAGAGGAGAGGGATCCCAGATAGACCAACTAGCAACTGTTCACTACAACTCGCTTCATCATCTTAAACCCCATCTCAATTCTTAACAGCCTTATGATTTTTAATGTTGATGGGATAAAAGGGATTTGAAAACACACAGTACTGAAACAAGTTCTTTCATGCTCATGGGGCTCAGGAGGTTTAGAAACATCTTTCATTTTCCCTAAGAAATGCTCTCTGACATAAGACTTTTCAAAATGTATCACTAAAAATGTATAAAGACATTCATTCATTTAATAAATTTTATAAGTGCCAGAAATCTTACCTAGAACTTTGATATATCAGTATTATACATCACCCAACACACATGCTTAGACTGTTAAGTCATTTCCTAGGTAATCTAGTCCAACCTGCACCTAATGTAGGAATCACTTCCATCTTCTCTCTGACGTTGAACTGAGCCTCTATTTGAATTCTCTCATTGATGGGAAGTTCATTGCTTTGCAGAAAACCTAAACCTAAAACACAACCATCCCATTGTTGAACTATAATTATTAGGGATGTCCTTCTTATGACAGACCTAAATTTGCTTTCTTATTGTCACTATCTATTGCTGTGTATTTTACTTTCTGGAGTATTATACAATAAATCCATTTCAGCTTCCACATGGTGACATTTTGAATATTTGAAGGCAGTTACTTTGTGCCCTCATCGTCCTCTGTTTTTTAGGCTAAAGAGTCTCATGTCTTATTAGTACAAAATGATATAAAAAACTTATGACTGATGATTAGAAAAGAAGTCTGATCCACCATACAAATTTTAAAAATACATTAGGAATTAAAAGGTTAGCATTTGTGATTTTTATTATTCATGAGTCATTTTGAAAGTCATGACATGCACTGATTTACAATTTCTAGAGGACGATTTTATATGAGCCTAGTTGTGAAAGCACATCCTTTGACTAATGAGTGCCCCTAGCCCCTGGCTGTCACATGCATGGAAGGACAAATGTATACATCATATTGCATTTGTGAATTTGAAGATTATGATGTTTCAGGAACTAGCCCTTGGAACTGTTACTGTATATGTCTATTCTACATATAGTAAATGCATTGCAATTTAATTTTGCCTGAGTAGAAGATTGGTTATTGCTCATATTCCCAGTGCCTGTATTGGTTCACACATCACATCAACCCCAGAAAAGTAATTACCCTTCCTTAGACCAACAAAACCTGATAAATTGTAAAAGCCTTCCAGTGGAAGTCTTCTCATCACCTAGTTGCAGTAATAAATCAACGAGGCAATTCCATCTAAGAGTCACTTCATTATAGAGTATGTACTGAGAAAATGACTTTCTATATTAGCATTGCTTACTTAGGAGGTAATGGATATTACAGTCATATGAAAAACGTGATCTTAAAGTAATATTGCCTCCATTGATATGTAATTGGCATTTAAAAAATAATAATTTTGTACAACATATTTAGATCTTTTTTACTTCACTGTGCATTTGTTTCTAGCCTCTGTGATTACAAAACTTGGCATCTGTACGGGTGCATGAGACCTTTCCTGCATGAGGAAGATTGTGTGACACCATCCCTGCTGCCTCTGCTCAGTCCTAGCCTGCTGCTGGTCCCTGCCCCGAACACCGAGCTTTCTGCCCTCTCTCTTTGCTTCCTGTGCTCCTGCAAACATCTCAGTTGGTTTCTCCTGAATGTCTCTCTGTTGATTTTCAAACAAAACCAGCAATCATTACTGTGTTTCAAAGCCCCTGCATGATCAAACTCTACCTTGATCTCTAAGGTAACTCTCTCAGTAGAGAACCATAGAGGTGAAATGCCCATCTCATTGCGTCATTTCAGAGGATAACTAATATTGACGTGACTTATCACTAGTGAGTAAACTTTCATCACTTGGTTAATATGGTTCCACACTGCTAATTTCCTTTTGCATTATCTCTTCTTTGGAGTGAGTCACTATGTGCAATCCACACTCAAGGGAAGCGAAATCAAGCTCAACCTCCTGGAGGGGAGAATATTATTTGTAATTCTTCTGTGAGAAATATTTGTTCCTTCTCACTAATTTTTATTTAATAATTTATTGATATCAGTATGGGCTCATAGATATTTATTTTGTTCTTTGGGTAAAACCAGGTCTTTCTAAAAACTTTTGTTGCACAAATTCTATCTGTTTTGCCGAGTGGAAGCTCTTTGAAACTGTTTTTTCCCATTTTGTTTGGGCTATATGTCTTTTCTTGTAAGTCTTTGTCAGCTACATGCATTGTAAATATATGACCCCTGCCAATGGCTTGTCTTTTTACAATCTCAATGATACATTTGGTCAACAAAAGTTCTTAATTTCAAATTACGCCCAACTTATCAAAGTACTTGATAAAATTCAACAACTCTTATTTTTTTTTTGAGTCAGCAAACTAGGAATAGAAGGAAACTTCTGTAATCTAATAAAGGTTATCTACAAAAAATCCCAACAGCTTTCATAATGCTTGTATTAGTCAGTTTGCACACTGCTGATAGAGACATACCCAAGTCTAAGTAATTTACAAAGGAAAGAAGTTTAATGGAGAACTCATAGTTCCACGTGGCTGAGGAAGCCTCACAATCATGGCAGAAAGCAAGGAGAAGCAAGTCACATCTTACGTGGATGGCAGCAGGCAAAGAGAGAGCTTATGCAGGCAAACTCCCATTCTTAAAGCCATCAGATGTTATGAGACTTACTCACTCTCATGAGAACAGCACAGGAAAGATCTGCCCCCATGATTCAATTATCTCCCACCAGGTCCCTTCCACAACACATAAAATTCAAGATGAGATTTGGGTGGGGACACAACCAAACCATATCATTCCACCCCTGGCCCCTCCCAAATATCATATCCTCATATTTCAAAACCAATCATGCCTTCCCAACAGTCCCCAAAAGTCTTAACTCATTTCAGCATTAACTCAAAAGTCCACAGTCCAAAGTCTCATCTGAGACATCCCTTCTGCCTATGAGCCTGTAAAAAAAGTTAACTACTTCCTAAATACAATGGGGGTACAGGCACTGGGTAAATACAGCCATTCCAAATGGGAGAAATTGCCCAAAACAAAGGGGCTACAAGTCCTGTGCAAGTCCAAAATCCAGCAGGGCAATCAAATCATAAAGCTCCAAAATGATCTCCTTTGACTCCATGTCTAACATGCAGGTCACACTGATGAAAGAGGTGGGTTCCCACAGCCTTGAGAAGCTCTGCCCCTGTGGCTTTGCAGGGTATAGCCCCACTCCTGGCTGCTTTCACAAGCTGGTGTTGAGTGTCTGCAGCTTTTCCAGGAGCATGATGCAAGCTATTGGTGGATCTACCATTCTGGGGTCTGGAGGATGGTGGCCTTCTTCTCACAGCTCCACTAGGCAGTGCTCCAATTGGGACTCTGGATGGGGGCTCGAACCCCACATTTCCCTTCCACCCTACCCTAACAGAGGCTCTCCATGAGGGCCCCACCACCCCAGCAAACTTATACATGTAGAAAGTTAAAAGAATCTATGAGCAATTTAATAAAAATGATATGAATAGAAGGTTGTTGAATAAAAGGTCAATTATACAAAAATGTATATATTTCTATATAGTAACCATAAACATGTGGAAAGTAAAATTTTAAATACCATTTACAATCGCATCAAAAATTAAATAATTTGAATAAAAATGTCCATGACATCAACACTAAATCCTCAAAAACACAGCTAAGAGAAAGAAATGATTATCTAAATAAGAGAAAAAGACATACCACATTCATGGAGAATAAATCAATGTTGTTTAAAGAATACAAAGATTCAGTTAGGTGGGAAGAATAAATTCTGGAGATCTAATATACAGCATGGTGACTATAGTTAATAATACTGTACTACATACTTGAAATTTGCTAAGAGAGTTGATCTAAAGTGTTCTTACCACACAATCGAAAAGTTGTAACTATATAAGGTTATCTAGATATAGATATATACAAATACATAATTAGCTTAATTATGGTAATCATTTCACAATGTATGCCTATATCAAAACACTATGTTGCACACCTTAAATATATATAATTTTTGTCAAGTCTACCTCAATACGGCCAGTAAAAAAAAATTTAAACATGTCCAAGTGGATGGCCAGGTTAATGCACCCACATATGTGATCAGTTATATCAGACACATGACATACAAACTATGGCAAATAAATAATTGTAGTGCAAAGCAAGTAATAACAAATAAATAGAAATCTTTGGATATTTGAACCCAAAGATTCAATGCAATCCTAATCAGAATTCCACAATATTTATTTTATAGAAATTGGCAAGCTGATTTTAAAATTTATATATTAATTGGAAGGAACTAGGATAGCCAAGCCAATGCTAATGAAGAATAAGGCTGGAGATGTATAGCCCTTGTAACAATACAGTGCTATGCTGGGGCGAAACTGGATAAATAGACCAATGTAATAGACAAAACGGAGTCAAAAACAGTCTCAAATTTATACATCACATGATTTATGAAACAGACTCCACTGCAATTCATTACAGAAGAGATGATCTTTTCAATAAGTAGAAATCCATTAATTCAATGTAAAATAAAATGGCAATCCCCCTACTTTACACCATACAAAAAATTAATTTAAGGCTGGGAGTGGTGGCTCACCCTGTAATCTCAGCACTTAGGGAGGCCAAGGTGGGAAGACCACTTGAGGTCAGGAACTCAAGACCAGCCTGGGTAACACAGTAAGACCCCCATCTACAAACAATTAAAAAATAAAATAATTAGCCAGGTGTGGTGGCCTGTACCTGTAGTCCTAGCTACTTGAGGGGCCAAAGTGGGAGGATTGCTGGAGCCTAGGAGGTTGAGGCTGCAGTGAGCTATGATTGTGCTACTGTACTATAGTCTGGGTAACAGAGTGAGACTCTGTCTCAAAAATAGAGTAATAATTTGAGAGAAATCAGGGACCTAAATATAAAATCTTGAAACAATGTTTCTAAGAGAAAAGAAAACAGAATATCATTATGATCTTGGGAAATAAAAAGATTTCTTAAATAACCCCCCACCAAAGCACCAACCAGGATATTAAAATGTTTTTTTCTGTTCTTTTTCTGAAAAATTTTCTCAAGAAACACTTTCTTTAATTTTTGAATACTTTCCTAAATTTCTTCAGTTTTATATCATGTGCTAATTTTGGCAATCTTTTTCCATTTGCTTAACTCTCAACCTTTTCCTTAAAATCGTAAAATAAGGAGATTTGACTAAATATTAACTAACTTCCCTTCACCTCCAGTATACTATCACTCTAATATATTGAAGAAAACTGCTTTTTTTCTTCTCCAGGCATTTAATTTCTTAAAATGCAAATTATAAAAAATTTAAGTTACACTTTCTGGTATAGACTCCTTCATGATTTTAATGACTGAAAGTCCCTCTGCACACTATAGTCATACTGTCAAACACTAGCATATTTCCTACTTACCAGGTGATATGGTTTGAATGTGTGTCCCTGCCCAGATCTCAGGTGGAATTGGAATCCCCAGTGTTGGAGGAGCGGCCTGGTGGGAGGTCACTGGATCATGGGGAGGATTTCCCCTTTGCTGTTCCCATGATGGTGAGTGAGATCACACAAGATCTGGTTGTTCAAAAATGTGTAGCACCTCCCCCTTCACTCTCTCTTCCTCCTGCTCAAGTGATGTAGCACATGCCTGCTTCCTCTCTGCCTTCCACTATTGTAAGTTTCCTGAGGCCTCCCCAGCCATGCTTCCTGTACAGCCTGAGGAACTGTGAGTCAATTAAACCTCTATTCTTTATAAATTACCCAGTCTCAGGTAGTTTGTTATAGCAATGTGAGAAGGGACTAATACACCAGGCAAAGGACCACCTTCATGAGCTCCATGTGAGATGCTTCTAATATGAAGACATTTGAATAGCTGCTGAAACTGCCAACTGCACCCCAACAATGGAACACAATAAATAGTCCTATCTAAGATACATGTAGTACACAGCCCGATTATAGAATAGGCCAGAGCTACAGGCATCACCATATGAAGAGTTAAAGCACTTTACCTAAATTTTTCCTTCCTTTTTGTTCCCATACAGAATTGATTCAGGATTGCTGGAAAAAATACTTTAAAGACTTGTAAGGTGACTACACAAAAATATATCCTAAAAATGTTATGTATTTGCACAATATACATATATTCTTAGCTGCTTATACCTTTATAAAACTGTCTATGGAAAACAGAAATGAAAAAGGAATAGAAATTTATTTTACTTTGTTCCTTGGTATTTGAATACAGGTAGTCAACTAGGCACTGTACAGAATGATTCTGAGAGTATGTGATCTCTGGTATAATGTGGACACTAATGCCATGTATAAATAAATGACAAATCTCTGAAGGCTTTTAATTTTTTATAGCTTTTTTTTTCAACAAGGGTATGTACATGCATTGAAGGAAGCTGAAAGTTTAATGGTTTTAAAAAAGATATTAGAGGAATAGTCACTTTTAGACAAAATTTAAAAATAGCATTCATCAATTAGATCTGATGATAAAAGTAGTAAGTGTTCTATGATGACAATTTAAACAATACAGAAGACTGGAGAGGCCACCATCATGCTAACCCTTCAGGGATAATCACTAATAACATAGTATAGTGCATTTCCTTCAAGTCTTTTTTCTTTACAAATGAATTCAAGTGAAAAGATAAAAATTATTATAACATAAAATTATAAAATTTGGTTGGTAAAAAACAGGTATAAGTCTCTCTAGGAAAGCAAAAAAAAAAAAGGGAAGGCAATCTGTAAGATTCCATTCAGGAATGAACTGAACAACATTACAAACAAAGTAAAACCCCCATCTATGAAAAACTAAAAAATAAAATAATTAGCCAGGTGTGGTGGCCTATACCTGTAGTCCTAACTACTTGGGAGGCTAAGGTGGGAGGATCGCTTGAGCCTAGGAGGTTGAGGCTGCAGTGAACTATGATTGTGTCACTGCACTATAGTCTGGGTAACAGAGTGAGACTCTGTCTCAAAAACATAATAAGGTGAAAGGCACTTCTTACATGGCGGCGGCAAGAGAGAAGAAGCTTGTACAGGGAAACTCCCATTTTTAAAACCATCAGATCTCGTGAGACCCATTCACTATCACAAAAACAACACAGGAAAGACCCACCCTAATAATTCAATCGTCTCTCACCAGGTCCCTCCCCCAACATGTGGGAATTATGGGAGCTACAAGATGAGATTTGGTTGGGGACACAGAGCCAAACCATATCACCATGTATTGGCAACTTTGCACATCCTCATTGTCTGCCAGTGTCTCTGTGACCCATTCAGCTTTTCTCTGCTCCTTCAAGATGCCATCCCCTGCTCTGAGTCTCTGGCCACATGAGACCATGGACCACCTGCTTAGAGGCTCCTCGACATCTTACTTTCCGAGACATGAGCACATCTAACTCTCCTACTTCATTGGGGCTCCCTAGTTATTTCACTCTCTGTTCTTAGGCCTTGCCCACCACATGTTTGTCAAAGCCATTTGGACTCACTGGAAGGTCAAGTTCAAGTTTTACCAACCCCTCACACCCACCTCAAAAGGTTCACCTGGAAACAAGAAGTCCACAGTCCCCAATTGATCTAACACCTCCATGTGTCCCAGGATCCTCCCAATACCAGCATTCTGTTTGATAACCCCAACACAACTATCCCAGGTCAATTTTTACAATTCTCATAGCCCCAGGTTCCATATGCATCAGTGTGCTATTGCATTTTTGGATAAACAAAAAGAATAAGGACACTGTTTTTCCTGCTTCAGTGATAATTTCAGATGCAGCCTTCTCACTGAAGGAGGCCAACAGGCACAACTCTGTCTCATCACATTGCTGCATCCTCTTCTGAGCTCATACTTCTTTCTCCTTGATCATTTTCATCTTTTATGATGACAGCCCCATTGCCGCCTATAATATAATCATTAAGGTAATAGTCAGCTAATAGACCCCAGTAAATGCTCTGTTAAATGGAATCCATTTATCCACTTCACCCAGTGTTTTAAGAGATTTTTTACAGCAGCACCTGACAGGAATACCCAATCAGGGTATTTACTTATCAACAATTTTAACTTACATCCACCCTACTCTCATTTCCACCAGCTAAACTTCTGTTCTTTTGAGAATGTGCCTGGTATCTTCCATGGATTCATCCTGTTGGAGGAAAGCTCCCCAAGTTCAAGCGTCAGGTCCCATCTGCCACTGTTGGCCATCTTTGTGAGTTTGAAACTGCTGGGAAATAGAGCATTAAAGCAAGCTGGCTATGCTGAAATACAAAGCCTTTGGGCCCAGGCCTCAGCAGGGCCTGTAATAGCAGGTGATCCAAAAAAGTTTTCTTCACAAAATGTTAACCATAATACATTGATAGCACTTTGCATGACCACAGTGACATAGGGAGGACGTCTGCAGACTGAAGATATGCACCTTATCAGAACCTCTGAATTCTATCAAGAGATGTGGCCACAGTGGGGAAACCTCATTTTGGCTTGAGGCCTGGATGGCCGCCCCAAGAACACCATGAGCATATGAACTAGAGTGGGAAATGTTGTCAGACACACTGAATTTCCCCTACGGTAACGGTTGGCTTATTGTGGCACCAGGCCAGACTCGTGGGCCCTCAGAGAGTTTTAGGCTGTGCAGCATTTGATGACACCAATACTTTTGTCTCTGTGGATTGAAGCTATGACTCTCTCAATAAATTTTCCTTTCCTCTCCCTCAGCTTCATGAGCAGAGTGTTTGAAAGGCCATGTTTTGAGATGTGTACCATCTGGCTGTAAGAAATTGTAGTTGCCAACATCAGGGAAAACAGGCCTCTCTCCTTAGGAATGCTTGATCATTCAACTAAGCACATGAAGATGAAGTAAGTAGATGAAAGGGTTTATGAGTTCTTCAGAGGGTTTGTGCTCATGTGTTTCAATTCCACTCTATTACAACAATGGTTTGACATGATTTATATCATTACACAAGTAATAGCAAGGTTTTTAAAAATAAACATAAACCAGAGTAAAGAAAAAACATAAGTAGGGAAAAAAAGAAGTGAAGTCAATGTATTCATTCCTTGTATTTCTATGCAGTCATTATAAGATGGTAGACTTCACCAGGCATGGTGGCATATACCTGTAATCCCAGCTACTCAGAGGCTGAGGCAGGAGGATCACTTGAACCTTGGAGGCAAAGGTTGGAGTGAGGTGAGATCATGCCCCTGCACTCCAGCCTGGGCAACAGAGTGAGACTCCATCTCAAAAAAAAAAGAGGGTGGTAGAAGATGTGACTCTGAGTATCCTAGCAGACAAGATACAAAGAAATAGTTGCTTGAAATAAATACAACTTTTTTTCTAACACTATGATGATAAAGAGATTTAAATTTTGGACCCTCATAAAAAAGACACTTAGGATTTATTGAACGATGTCCCAAAAAATCTCTATAATAAATGCAAAAATAGTTTGCTAGTATTTCTTTTGAGGTCAATCAATTTGTACCAATGACATGACACCAAAGCACCATTTCATAGGAACAAGTCAACTATGAACTAAAACAATGCACTCTAAATACTCACCTGCTGGTTTGGTTCAAGAATAAAATTTAGACTAGCTAGAAGAAGAAGAGCCTGTAATCCACTCAGCTCAAACAAATGCCAGGTAATACCATCACCAAATTAAATTATTTTAATGTAAAGTCCTCAGATCAGGCACACACACAGGATGATGTCACAGGCTTAGTGGGGCACTCTTCCAACAGAAAAGCCATTTCATATGCATCTCACTCTCCCATAGATGAGCTTCTAAGCATTCGGGAAGTTAACGAAGTAGAATGAGAAAGAATGAAAGAGGAAAGATGTCTGAATCATCAAAGATAGAACAAGAGGACTATTTAACTCAGTTGTTCATCTTTTAAGTTTAGCAAAAATAATCATCTGTGAATGTTATTGGGCACAGACCTTCATAAAAAGACATTGGGAGATAAATATGTGTCCCCCCACTGTAGACAGTGGAGGAATCTTTCTTAACCAATTTCCATTTAACCAACTCACCAGAAACCAAATTGAATGTTCTAGAAATTACTACAAAGCTGAGTCACTAAAAATAGGTGCTTTAAAATAAGGTAAGGAAAAGGCAAGTATGAAATATCAGGGAAGGAAAAGCTCAATTTCTTTAAGGCATTAGAAATATCTTCAACTTCTAACTCCTCTTTTAAGAAACTCAAAGTGGAAAGTGTTGACAATACATTGTGATTGTGGTTTATGGAAAAAAAAAGGTGTAATTCTAATCAGTGGCTCCTAGGCCATGTATCTGAACATAGTCTCTTCATTTCAGTTGCTCTCCGACGCTCTTTTTATAATTCCCCACTCGGAAGCCCTCCACAGATGTCCTTCTCCATGCTTTCCACCTGCATCTTAAAGAATATGTTTCTCCAAAAAGGGAAATTATTCCAGACACCCAGGTGATCCTGCCTGCCTGATAGGGCTGGCTTCTTGGGTGTGCAATCAATGCAGTGGCACAGGCCCCTATGCTTGGCTGAATGCTCTGCTGCCTTGTCTTGAACTAGTCTTATCTTTTAACTTGAATTTTGCAAGTGAAGGAGAACTGAGCTGGGCGCCTGCAAGACGTGGTGGGAAGCACCAGGTGGCCCTAGCCTAGCAGAGGCCTGCGCATGCGCAAGATCAAGCCCGCAAGCCCTGTGAAGGCGCATGCGCAGACAGCAGAACCCAATCCTTGGTGCTGCTCGGTGTTGCGGGGCCTCCACCGGGCGGAGGAGCTGTGACCTGCACCCGGGCTGGTGGCAGAGATGGCAGCTATAGCGGCAGCCACAGCCACAGGAGAGGAGAGGTGCTTTGCGCGAGGACAGAGCCAGGACACGTGGAGGGGGCTGGTTGCCGTCACTACCTGGAGCCCGTCCTTGCAAAGCCTCTGCCACTGGCTTTCCAGCCTGAGCTCCGCTACAGGAACTACCAGTGCGCAGCCAGCGAGACCTGTCAGTAGATTATTACAAAGTAAAAGTGCATGCGTGGGCATCACCATGAAGCTTGAAAACTCTTTAAAGAGTTTTGAATCTCTGGTTTTGAAAGCTAGCACAACACTGCAAAACAAATGTCTACAGATATACAGCACGAATAATCTTTCTTAGAAATTAAATTTAAATATGTTTACATCTGATGGAAAAGAACACTGTTTTCCTATGCAGCTTCAGCTAAACCAGTTATGAATAAGGAAGACAAATGTTTTCTTCTTTATTTTTATTTATTTATTTATTTTGAGACAGAGTATCGCTCTGTCGCCCAGGCTGGAGTGCAGTGGCGTGATCTCGGCTCACTGCAAGCTCTGCCTCCTGGGTTCACGCCATTCTCCTGCCTCAGCCTCCCGAGTAGCTGGGACTACAGACGCCCACCACCACGCCTGGCAATTTTTTTCTATTTTTTAGTAGAGACAGGCTTTCACCGTGTTAGCCAGGATGGTCTCAATCTCCTGACCTCATGATCCGCCCGCCTCGGCCTCCCAAAGTGCTGGGATTACAGGCGTGAGCCACCGCAAACAGGCATTTTAAATTACATGCAAGTCATGAAGCCACTATCCATTTCTCAAACAACTGCCCCCAATTACAGACAATATCAGAAGAATGACATTAAAATGGTTATTTTACAAATTTACACTTAAATTCAGATTTGCAAAAACCTGATCTGTATGAAGAGTTAAATCCTTTTAGAAAAATTGTTCAAAGATAATCATCAACTCCATGCTAAAATTTGTATTTTGGGATGATTTATCAAAAATTTTATCTCAATGGAGTTAAAGCTTACTAAATATTCTTAACAGCTACTGTAATAATTGCATCAGCAGAAAGATCCTTCTCAAAATTAAAATAAAAAATTATGTGTGATCTTGCATTTTCCAAGAGCAAATGATAACATTCTCAATCATATGTAATGAAAATGAGGTTACTAAAAGTATAAATTTCAATGATCTAATAAATAAGGTTCCAGAAAATAGAGCAGGAAAAATCATATGATCAATCAAAACAGCACATTAACAAAGTATTGTTACTTATCATGCTCTGTAAAACTATGAAACAAAAGTATTTTTTCACAATTTGTAAGTTCATGCTGTTACTCATGTATCACTGTTAGTATTATGTTTATAAGTAATAAAATATTTTAAACAGAAAAATGCATATTTTAGTACCTGTAATGGTACTTTCCTTCTGCTTTTTGAACAACAGGCAGGCCCTGTATTTTCATTTTTTTATTGGGCCCCACAATTTACATAGCTGGACCTACCACAGAAATTTGCTTTTTTTTTAAGATGGAGTCTCGCTCTGTCACCCAGGCTGGAGTGTGATGGCGCGATCTCAGCACAGTGCAACCTCCACCTCCAGGGTTCAAGCAATTCTCCTCAGTCTCCCGAGTGGCTGGGATACAGGCGCCTGCCACCATGCCCGACTAATTTTTGTATTTTTAGTAGAGATGGGGTCTCACCACGTTGACCAAGAAATTTGCTTTTTGAATTTCTTAGTATTGAGCTCTTCTGATCCCCATTTATCCCCCCAAAAATAAAGTATCTCGTTAGTAATGGTGTACCAGCTTCATTAGGAAGGAATTTCAATGCTTGGAATACCTCTCCAGAAATGGAGGTGAGTCTGGCCCCCATCTCTGTCCTCCCACTGCTCCACTGATCTCTGCCTGCCCATAGTCACCAGCAGAACACTTCAGACCCCCCTTCCAGGGTTTTCTCTACACCTCGACTTTAGACCGTTAGGCCCATCCCTGCCCACCTCTCCCAGGCCTGCAGCCACCGATAGAAGCTCCTCTACCTGGGAGTCAGAGCCCCGAAACCAGCCTGGCGCACATGGTGGTGGGTGGGGGAAGGGGGTCTGTAACCCCTTTGGCTGCACCCAGAGCCACTCTCCATAAACCTAGCTCAGAAGTCTGTTCTTCTGGGAAAACATTTTAATCTGTTTCATTTAAAAAATAAACGTCCTGTGGCACCCACCTGCCCTGGTGCTAATAAGCCTGTCTCTGTGTTCACACATGGAGGGGGTCCAGTCTGCTTCCCTCGAGGGCTCAGCTCCTGCCAGCCCATAAGCCCACAGTGAGCTCTCATCCATCTCCCTAAAAGGCTCTCAGTCTTTTCTAGAACACAAGAAACAAATCTTGGAATCCTTTACTGCCTCCACACTCCTATTATTTCCTCATTATCTAGGGATTGCAGTGGCTCTGGATATGTCATTACTAAGCTTAACGCAGAACTTCACCCAATTTTCATCTTAAACTCTTCAAACAGCTTTATCTTGTATAAAAATGATATGAAAGATGTCGAGATTACTTGCTGATCCAGGAGATCATTTACCAAAAGTGGACTTCTGTAAAATGTTTCTGTCTGTTCATGGTTTAAAAAAAAAACCTCTTTTTTTTTTCCTTCTGAGCAAAGGCTAACGACACTCATCAAAAGCCAGTTCATGGTCAGAAGGGGATGATTGTAATACCAGCGGTCCAGCGGCTTCCTTCCTGCAGATCGGGCCTCTGCTTAACTTTGAGTCTTGTCTCACGCTCAGTGGTCTCAAAGGAGGTAGACCAGAGGGCTACACGGCATCCTGTCCGGTGTGTGAGAAGCAACAGCTGAATTTGACCCAATGCTAGGGAAGACACATGCATTGTTTTCACTGGTCCCTGGATAGCCACAAAGGCAAAAGCATATTTCAATGTTGAGGTCCATCTTAACTAATAACTGTCTCTCTGACAACCCCTTTACAATCCCAAATTCAGGAAAGAGATCAAATACATTAACGCAGGTCAAACATCTGTCTGCACTGAGCACACAGTAAGTGCTTAATTAATATGCATTCCCTTCCTTTTTTGTTATAATCTGCATCAAATCTATTTGACATCTATTTGATATATTCTTACCAGAAAGGAATTCAACTTCCTGTCTTGTGGTTTCCATAATCAAATTTTGAAGAAAGAAAAAATATATATAAATTCTCTAGCTGTTATTATTACTACTGTTCTCATCATCATTTTCATGTTAATACTGTATCCTAAAACACTTCTCAATGAGAAAAGGAGCTTTTCCCTCAGAATTTCCTTTCCTTTTAATAATGCCTGGGTAGAGCTTTTAATCAATACTAAAAATGAAATCTCAGCTTTCTGCAGGCCTTGATATCATAGGAGTCGTTGACAAATTCACCACATTCCTGGTGATTGTTCCCTTCCCCAGCATTATTCAGAAATGCCAATTATAACAGTTTCCTCTGAAATCTTGCTGTCTGGTAGAAACTTGCAAATATCGTAGTTTCCTTGGCAATGCCTATGGATTTCTCTACATCACACAGGGAGATTAAATAAGGCCTCCAGAGAGTGTGTGCTACCTCTAGCTTTTGGTCAGCCATGAAGACATTCTCCAGGGACCCCATTAAAAGAGGCAGTGTGTTAAAACACAGAGCTCAGCTGCCTGATATCGAATGGCAGTCTACTTAGCCTATCTAGTACTTGCCCTGTAATCTGAATTCTGTCCTACAAGGGACAGCATTCGTGCGACAGCCTCATCTCTATTGCTCCCCTGTGACTCCGACAAGTGGCTCTGTTTGCCCTCAGCATCTCTTTGAACCAATTTAAAGGATGACATCATGACACTTCCCTTTGTCTCTCCAAGTAACCATTTTCAAAGCTGCTTATTTCATTTTCTGTTTGACATGAAAGGGAAAACAAGTGCTATTTAAAATACCTGTTGAACAGGTAATAAAACCTGTGACTCATGAAATCCAACCACGGATTCCCAAGGCCTCCTGAAGTCTGAACAGTTAGATGCAGTAAAACAGCTTGACTGTCTTGACCCATGCTTCACTGTTCTTTAATAGAGCAAGACACTCCTCACACTCCCTGATTACATTATACGGAAAGATTGCATTAAGTGCATCCTATATTTTTGGACACCTGGTAACCTCTAAAATAGTGGCACCTTTGATGACATGAAAAGAACTTGTATCTTACATGTTCTCACACAGCATTCTAAGTAATTACAAAATGCTCCTCACAGGGCAAGTGGAGGGATGAAGATGCCTGACCCTGACCACTGTGGCTCTGGGAGTCCAGCTCACCTTTCTAGGCCTGGCCCTTAATTCTTCTGGCCATTCTCAGAAGTGTGATAAATCATCACAACAGAGCTCCAGGCCGTAAATATTCTTATTTTTTCCCACTATGTTGCTGTGCTTGGGGAGGAGTAAGTGTGCTACAATTTCAAAAACTAGACCTACCTAAAGTAACTAGACCTACATAAACTAGACCTATGTAAAGAACATCCAGCTGGCCTAGTAGCTCACACTTAGCATCCCAGCACTTTGGGAGGCTGAGGCAGGAGGATAGCTGGAGGCCGGAAATTCAAGACCAGCCTGGGCAATATAGTAAGACCCCCCTCCCCCATCTCTGCAAAAAATTTTAAAAATGGGCTGTTAGCTGGACAGGGTGGTGCAGATCTGTAGTCCCTATACTGGGACGCTGAGGTGGGAGGATCTGCTGAACCCCGGAGGTCAAGGCTGCAGTGAGCTGTTATTGCACCATTGACCTCCAGCCTGAGCGACACAGTGAGACTCTGTCTCAAAAAGAAAAAGAAAGAGACAGAGAGGGAAGGAAGGAAGGAAGGAAGGAAGGAAGGAAGGAAGGAAGGAAGGAAGAAAAAAAAGAAAAATAAAGAGTTTAGACTTTGAGGACAATTCCTATTGGTTCCTTCTTGCCTTTAGCATGGATCTCTGAAGGATCCGGGTTATTTCTCTCAGTCTGGAATCATTTTTCTTGGCTCCTAAAAAAGATTAAGTTCACTCTATCCTAGTTTGACTTATGCTCCTTTAGATGCCCAAGAAATCTGCTCTCACTCTCATTTTAAACTCATCTCTTCTGGTTTCTCCTTGTTGATATCACGTGGCATCTGGCATGGGCACAGTAATAACTTTGGAATGAGCAAGGCCATAACGTCCATCAAGTAGCAGGACACACAAAGAGGGGTTATGTGAGCCATCTACCATGAGGATGAAAATGGTCATTTTCATGCCAGAAACAGAGACTGATACAGTGATGACTCCAAATGATGTAAGCTGCCAGAGAAGGGGAAAATCAAAGGGAGCTGAAGAATTCCAGAATGGTTTTATTAAAGTACAGCTTTAAGATAATTAGATCATATTTGGATGAGTGAAAAGGAGATAAGGGAAACCAAGGGAAGAGAAATTAAAAAGCTACAGAGAAGCAAAAAGAGTTTGAAAACCAGTTCTGCAGCTCACTTGGTATCTACCTTTGGAAACCTAACTTCTGTTATCCTTGTTTCCATTGTCTCTTGAATAAAAACAACAATGCTTCTATTATGGGGAGTTTCAAGTAGTTAGTAAGATTATATTGGTCTATTCTCATGTTGCTATAAAGAAATACCTGAGACTGGGTAATTTATAAAGAAAAACGAACCCAGCAGCACATCAAAAAGCTTATCCACCATGATCAAGTGGGCTTCATCCCTGGGATGCAACGTTGGTTCAACATATGCAAATCAGTAAACGTAATCCAGCATATACACAGAACCAACGATAAAAACCACATGATTATCTCAATAGGTGCAGAAAAGGCTTTGACAAAATTCAACAGCCCTTTATGCTAAAAACTCTCAATAAATTAGGTATTGATGGGATGTATCTCAAAATAATAAGAGCTATCTATGACAAACCCACAGCCAATATCATACTGAATGGGCAAAAACTGAAAGCATTCCCTTTGAAAACTGGCACAAGACAGGGACGCCCTCTCTCACCACTCCTATTCAACATAGTGTTGGAAGTTCTGGCCAGGGCAATCAGGCAGGAGAAGGAAATAAAGGGTATTCGATTAGGAAAAGAGGAAGTCAAATTGTCCCTGTTTGCAGATGACGTGATTGTGTATCTAGAAAACCCCATCGTCTCAGCCCAAAATCTCCTTAAGCTGATAAGCAACTTCAGCAAAGTCTCAGGATACAAAATGAATGTGCAAAAATCACAAGCATTCTTATACACCAATAACAGACAGAGAGCCAAATCATGAGTGAACTCCCAATCACAATTGCTTCAAAGAGAATAAAATACCTAGGAATCCAACTTACAAGGGATGTGAAGGACCTCTTCAAGGAGAACCACAAACCACTGCTCACTGAAATATAAGAGGATACAAACAAATGGAAAAACATTCCATGCTCATGGGTAGGAAGAATCAATATTGTGAAAATGGCCATAATGCCCAAGGTAATTTATAGATTCAATGCCATCCCCATCAAGCTACCAATGACTTTCTTCACAGAATTGGAAAAAACTACTTTAAAGTTCATATGGAACCAAAAAAGAGCCCGCATTGCCAAGTCAATCCTAGGCCAAAAGAACAAAGCTGGAGGCATCACGCTACCTGACTTCAAATTATACTATAAGGCTACAGTAACCAAAACAGCATGGTACTAGTACCAAAACAGAGATATAGACCAATGGAACAGAATAGAGCCCTCAGAAATAATGTCCCATATCTACAACTATCTGATCTTTGACAAACCTGACAAAAACAAGAAATGGGGAAACAATTCCCTATTTAATAAATCGTGCTGGGAAAACTGGCTAGCCATATGTAGAAAGCTGAAACTGGATCCCTTCCTTACACCTTATACAAAAATTAATTCAAGATGGATTAAAGACTTAAATGTCAGACCTAAAACCATAAAAACCCTAGAAGAAAACCTAGGCAATACCATTCAGGACATAGGCGTGGGCAAGGACTTCATGTCTAAAACACCAAAAGCAAAGGCAACAAAAGCCAAAATTGACAAATGGGATCTAATTCAACTCAAGAGCTTCCGCAAAGCAAAAGAAACAGCCATCAGAGTGAACAGGCAACCTACAGAATGGGAGAAAATTTTTGCAATCTACTCATCTGACAAAGGGCTAATATCCAGAATCTACAATGAACTCAAACAAATTTACAAGAAAAAAACAAACAACCCCATCAACAAGTGGGTGAAGGATATGAACAGACACTTCTCAAAAGAAGACATTTATGCAGCCAAAAGACACATGAAAAAATGCTCATCATCACTGGCCATCAGAGAAATGCAAATCAAAACCACAATGAGATACCATCTCACACCAGTTAGAATGGCGATCATTAAAAAGTCAGGAAACAACAGGTGCTGGAGAGGATGTTCAGAAATAAGAACACTTTTACACTGTTGGTGGGACTGTAAACTAGTTTAACCACTGTGGAAGTCAGTGTGGCGATTCCTCAGGGGTCTAGAACGAGAAATACCATCTGACCCAGCCATCCCATTACTGGGTATATACCCAAAGGATTATAAATCATGCTGCTATAAAGACACATGCACAAGTATGTTTATTGCAGCACTATTCACAATAGCAAAGACTTGGAACCAACCCAAATGTCCAACAATGATAGACTGGATTAAGAAAATGTGGCACATATACACCATGGGATACTATGCAGCCATAAAAAATGATGAGTTCATGTCCTTTGTAGGGACATGGATGAAGCTGGAAACCACCATTCTCAGCAAACTATGGCAAGGACAAAAAACCAAACACCGCATCTTCTCACTCATAGGTGGGAATTGAACAATAAGAACACATGGACACAGGAAGGGGAACATCACACACCGGGGCCTGTTGTGGGGTTGGGGGAGGGGGGAGGGATAGCATTAGGAGATATACCTAACGTTAAATGACGAGTTAATGGGTGCAGCACACCAACATGGCACATGTATACATATGTAACAAACCTGCATGTTGTGCACATGTACCCTAAAACTTAAAGTATAAAAAAAAAAAAGACAAGAGGTTTCATTGGCTCATGGTTCCTCAGGCTGTATGGGAAGCATGGTGGCTTCTACTCCTGGGGGGCCTTGGGGAGCTTTTACTCAAGGTGGAATGTAAAGTGGAAGCAGGTGTCTTACATGGCAAAAGCGGAACCAAGAGGGAGGGGGAAGAGCTAAATGCTTTTAAACAAGGAGATCTCATGAGAATTCAGTCATTATACCAAGACGGAGGGTGTTAATCCATCCGAAACTGAAACCAGGCCCCTGGTCCAATCCCCTCCCACCAGGCCCCACCTCCAACATTAGGGATTACAGGAACACCTGAGATTTGGTGGGGACACAGACCCAAACCATGTCACAGATGATTTCAGGACAATTTAGCACAATGTCTGATCATAAGAATCCATCAGTAGTCATTGTTATTGTTGCCACTGCTATCGTTTTTATTAACAGGTGTAGTGTCATTAAGACAAAGAACACCCCAGCCTGATGGCTTAAAGTTGCAAATGGACCACAGTGGGAAATAAAACCAGTGAGGTAACCTGAATGTGAAGGCACTTGAACATGATTTTGAATACACAAGATTCGGTAAGCAAGGACTCATTATATATTCCTGAGAAAGAAGTAAATACTGTTTTTACCTTGTTTTTTAAAAAAGAAGTGAACTTTATGGCACTGAATGAAAGGTAAACGTCATACACTATCTGAATACCTGCTACGTGTATGCTGCTTTGACATACATTATCATATTTATTTTCCCGTGAGATAGGAGCTAGAATAGGAAGTAAAATTAGATCCAAACGTGTGAATCCAAACCCAATTTCTTTTTAACTGACAATGATGCTGCCTCCCCGCCTGAAGGTTACTTAGATTGAAACTTGTACCAATTGGTGTGGTAATAAGCTAGAAAAAGGATCCATAAATGGTAGCCCACAGGCCAAATCCAGTTTGTAAATAAAACGTTATTGGAACACTGCCATGCCCCGTTGTTCCACATCGGCCATGGCTGCCTTTGTGCATCATCAATGACCTTAAATGCACATATGCATTATCTTTGTATTACAGTTAGGTTTATGTGTCTATTGCCCTGTTAGAGTGTAAGCTCCTTGAGGGTGGGATTGTGCCACATTCACCTTTTCCCACCTATACTAAGCACTACTTGTTACACTGCAGACTTAATACATACTAAAAGTAGATATTACGTACATACGTAATACATTTTTTAAAAAAATACAGGAATAGCCTCTGAGATTAAATAACCTGGGTATATTTTGATTTCAGATAGTAAGTAATATAAAGTCATATTTACATTAACATAAATATAAAGATGTTTACATTCTTTTTATTTCCTATTTTATTTGAAGTAAAACTAACAAAATTTTAAATCGAACCTCTTGGTACATTTGGTCTTGCCTAGAATTTTTTGCAGTATCTTAATAGTGGAAGACATACATTTAAAATCACTCGTTGTACACTGGGCCAGGTATCTTGCTGTTCTTACTAAACGACAATAAAGATAAGGGCAAAGCCATAAGTCATGATGAAGATTTCCTCTGCGAAGCTGTAACAACTGCACCCCCATGATGGCAACCCATTCTTGGTTAGCATGTAAAGCCAGTCATCCTTTATTTACAATGTTATCACCACATAGTGAAAAATACATCGACAAGTTTCACATTTAGTTGTATAACTCCCTCATTTTCCATAGTGTTTAACACTTTGCTAATTGTATTTAACAGTTTTATTGCATCTGAGAATTCTAAACTTTCATTTAATTTTTATGATTTTGCTGTTTATAACTTCTGAAAATGAAACATGACATATTTGTTCATATTCTTAAACATTGTCCCAAGGCTTTAGATAAAATGTTTATAAATTATAAAACATTTGGAAAACACTTTTTTTTTTTTTAGTAAAACTATCACTGAGTGCCTAGAGAAGTCAAATTTTACAAATTTCTTAGCAAGAAAATCTACTAGTCTCTTCTAATTCTGCTGGTAAGGCCATGAAAATACATTCTTTATTCTTGGGAAAAAAAAAAACAAAAAAGAACATGTTCCTTTTGGGTTAGGAAATCACTTTTCTTGATTTTTCTTGGAAGAAGATGTAAGAAGGCAGTTGAAGACTTGGTAAAAGATCATAATTTCAAAGAAAAAACCATAACTTTAAGGATTACTGGAAAATATAGGTATGTTTGCATAGAGGCCCAGTGAACCCACTGGGAGCCCCTACCTCCTCCTGTGAGGTTCAGCCTTGTCAGAATACCTCTGCAGATGTAACCTTGCAGAAAGGATACTGGAGATCCCCGAGGAAAAAAGCAGCCCTTGGGGAAGAGGTGGAGAACGCTGACTTGTGCTGGGTTCTGGCATAGGGGTCAGACCCATCCTGCAGGAAGCCGCCACTGTTCACTGTGGGGCTGAGGCTGAGACACCTCCCTGATGTGGACATCCTGAAATCTTGGCCATGCCTTTGGGAGACCATTGCAAATCTAATAAATGTCAGAAGTATTACTGGGTGCCCAGGCCAGTGGAGATGTAGAAAGAACCCACTAGACATAACACAACCTACTCCACTTCTTCCTTTCAAACCTGGCACACAGAGAAGTTACTGTCCAACCTGGGATGGACTATGTGTGTGGTCACCAGATGTGTCCTTGCAGTGGACAGTGCGACAACTAGAGTGACCAGGTCATTCCTATTTCAACAGTAGCAGAAACTCCAATTGAAGAAAACTGAACTTCTTGGTGGCGTGAGCAAGCCTTCGGGTTTTCTCTGCTCTAGGTGCTAAGTACCCAGTTCCAACTCCTTGGGTTAACCAAGTACCCCAGAGAGAGAGAGATGGATGGATGGATGGATGGATGGATGGAGGAACAGAGAAGCGAGGGAGAACACTAAGGGAAAGAAAGTCAACCTTACAGTAAATGAGATAGACTCCAGAAATCATTTAATTTGAATATTAGAGAAAGCTGAATTATTTCTATTTTCTTAGTCTGTTTCAATATAAATTTATTTCTCACAGTTTTGGAGGCTGGGAAGTCCAAGGTTAGGGTCCTGGGAGGTTCCTCATTGTCTAGTGAGGGCTGCTCTTTGCTTTCCAGATGGCACCTCATTGCTGCATCCTCACATGGTAGAGGGGCAAATGCTATGTTTTTTATGGTAGAAGGTGGAGGAGCAAGAAGGGGTGAACTTACTCCTTCAAGCCCTTTAATAAGGGCCCTAATACCGTTCATGAGGGCTTTACTCTCATGATTTAATCACCTCCTAAAGGCCCTGCCTCTTAATACTACCACATTGGGATTAAGTTTCAGCATATAAATTTTGTGGAACAAATTCATACCAGACCATAAACACACAGGGTAAGGTATATCTTCTCTAAAATTAAGCACCTAAAAACATGTAATAAAAACAATGCAGTTGGTTTTGACACAGAGCCAGGAATTTTAGCAATGATGCCCTACAAGGTTTCATTTTGGTATCACCAAGAATTTCTCCCTGTTCAATGGAATACTCCATCCATCCCTCAGGCTGATGACTGATAACCTAAATCTATACCATGAGGTCTATATTCCTCTAGCAATCATCATTTTTCTGTAATTAGCACTTTATGATTTATGAATTTTCAAATTATTTATAACCTCACTTCATCTCCATAAAAACCCAATGGGGGCCCGGCGTGGTGGCTCACGCCTGTAACCCCAGCACTTTGGGAGGCTGAGGCGGGCAGATCATGAGGTCAGGAGATTGAGACCATCTTGGCTAACATGGTGAAACCCTGTCTCTACTAAAAAAATACAAAAAATTAGCTGGGCGTGGTGGCGGGCACCTGTAGTCCCAGCTACTCGGGAGGATGAGGCAGGAGAATGGTGTGAACCCAGGAAGCAGAGCTTGCATTGAGCTGAGATTGTGCCACTACACTCCAGCCTGGGCGACAGCGAGATTCCAAAAAAAAAAAAAAGAAAAAAAAGAAAAAAAAAACTCAATGGGAACATATTATTTATCCCTTCATGCAGATGAATAAGCTAAGTTTACCGGTTGGGGAGTCTGGACTCAAACTCAACTCGAGTGTATGTGATATGGCAGGGATATTCTGGAAGGTCTGACAAATGGGAAAATAATAATCCATACACACCATAACTTCGTGCATTTAGACTATCAGTCAAAACCAGGCCTTTTTAAAGTGACAAAAGAAAGAATAGGCATCTGTGGATGGGCACTGGGAGACGACAAATGGGAAAAGGTTGCAGATTGGAAAGGCTGGATGCAGTAACAGCAACACACTTCTCCAGCAAGGGCTTCCAAACTGAACCTGATTGACAGGAAGGCAGACTGCTTTCCATTCAGCATGGAATTGTTTTTCCCTTTTTGACAGCTCAATGAGCAATTGCCTAAATAGAATGAACAAATAAATAAATAAACAGAGGTGGAACAATTAGCGAACCTCAGACATCCATGGAGGACTAAGAGGCTTCCTTCATTTCAACTAATATCTCCATCTTGATCTGTCAGCATTAAGAAAAGAGAAAGATTATCCATTCAAAGACAGCTGCCATCCAATTAACACTTGATTCCAGGTAATAAATCATATCACAGATTTTACTGACAACCTGTAGGACATTATCTTTTCAGTGGCACTTGGCATGACCTTTACCTCCAAATGGCTTAAAAGAGGTTGAAGTACAGCAATTGTGAGGCCCCCACAATCCCCGCGCATGGCACATCCTGCTAATCCAAGGGAGTGCTAAGCCCAGGATGGAAAGGGCATGCTTTGCTTGAACAACAATTACTGTTGATTAAGTATCATCCAACAGCTCATGGATACACAGTCTATTTTTAACATGCATATTTCAAATCCAATTGAACTGGATTTCCTTTCTCAAGAGTTCATTATTGCTACCTTTTTTTTTTCCAGAGAGAAATCAAATGTTCTATAATGCATTTTGTGTAGAACACTGTTCTAACACCACAGCAAATTCCGTTAAATGTCAGAAGAATTTAAAGCCTTGTTGTTGAAAATCACAGGCTCAGGATGTTATGAGTATTTAGATCTTTGGAAACTTTAATAACCAATGAGTGTGAAAATCTTTTAGAAGTTCCTATTTGGCTGTAGAATATGATATGATCACCAGTTTATTAAAAGAAACCAGTAATTATGCATGTGAAACAAGGGAGCAATTTGGAATGCTTTTACTTCAGTGTCACATAAGCATTTATTCTCATACATTCGCATGTATTTCAAGAATATTAGCATTTCTTCTCATTCATTCATTCACTATACTAAACAGAAATGTCTATAGGAATGTGAAATAATTTGCTATCTTGCTTTATTCTGTGAGTACTGAAAGAAAAACAAGGTATTGTAAAAGAAAAACAGAGGCCAAATTTTAATGTAGAGATGGATGATTGAGAAGACATCAGAAGGCATTCAACACAGGCTAAATGCACATATGAGCTCACACACACACGTAAGTGCGTGCCTACACAGAGACACATGCACGACACACACACATGTGCATGCATGTGCACACACACCACGTGGAGTTATCTAACATTAAAGAATAAAAACCTAGGAAGACATTTTCCCTTCCAGTTAAACATTTAATTATTTCAGAAACATTCCTATCCCTAACAAGTATTCATGTTTTCTTCCAGGAATATTCTAAGCCTCACTAACTGCTGCCTTTCCTAGTCCTGCCATAGTAATAGTCTAGATGTATGGAGCCTGATGGTGCAGACAGTAAAACAGTCAGCAAAGAGCTATTGTGGAGACAAGGTAATTAATCTTAAAAGTAGTAAGAGAAACAGGCTAAAAAAGAATATAATCTGGGGGAAAGACTTTTGAACTTCATGCAAAAGATGCTACAAAAACTTAAAGATGATAACATAACCCCAAACCTGATGTCCACACTGACTGATTTAACTAAAAACCATGGTATGTACCAAGTATCATCTATTTGCTAGGCCCCTACTTGGCACTTAGGACAGAGGAATGAGCATGCACAGTCTTGAACTCTTGCAGAGCTCATATTAAAGTGAAATAAACCACTAAACACAACACAGAGAATAATCCTGATGAAACCCCAGCCAACAATCATAAATATTCAATAGATCTGATTGTTATCTTATGTTGTATATGTAAATTCAACAGTAGAATTAATCTGAGAAAGCTGTATAAAGGTGGTAAATTGCCAATCAAATTTTGAAGAAGAAAAGAGATAGGATTTGGTAGGCAGAGTCGGGGTAGCTAAGTCAGGAAAAGTCTCCCAAAATGCAATATTAGAGAAGCAAGAGAGTTTGAGTGGTATGCAAAAGGTAACTAAGTAAAACTGATTTCTTGAGTTAAATACATAATCAAAAATTTAAGAGGAGATGTAAGAGGAATGAAAGCTCAGTTCACAAAAAGATCACTTGCTTAACATATCCCAAATCTCTGTCCTTATTTCTGGAATAATTATGGACAATAAGGTACAGAGAAAGGACATGGGTTTTAGAATTCATTTAGTAAATATGATCTTGGAGAGAGAACTTTACCTCTCCTTCCCAGATGTGAAACATAGACAAAGCTATTCTAACTGATGAGATACCTTCAAGAATTAAATAAAACATGGAAAGGGCCTAGCATAACACGTGATACCCACAAGACACTAAACAAATGTGAGTTCATTTAGTTCCTCAGGGTGAGTTCCCTCCGCAGTTTGGTACGGGATATTCTTACAGTCTGATATTATTAACCTATCATGAAGCACTAGAACATAATGACATTTGACGATAGGAGTTTTATGTTCAGGATTCACACCATCCTAATATAAGAAACGCAGATTTCCCACACCCTCCTGGGAGCCAGGCAGTACTCTTGCTTTTTGCAGCAGTCAGTAGTTTCATTCCCCCTTCAACACCACGCCTTCCCCTAATGTGTCCCTGGAGGGAAGAGAAGTAGAGGGGTGAAGTTTCTAAGCCAAGCTCACCCCAGGAGGAAGCTGGGGTCCATCGTGCTTACATGCAAGTCTAAAGGTGGACAATGTGTTCTCCCCTCCCCTCGTCCCCAGGATGGAGCAGTGTTTGCTTTGCAGCTGTGTAGGACTTTAAGGAGATGTTTGCTGTCCTCTTGAGCTCTTGAGCTCAGATGTTTGATCTCTCCAAAAATGGGGGTGTCCTTCCATGAGGAAAGAAGGCTGCTTGTCTCAGTAAATGACACATCACCACCATAGTCACGTGTTAGAAACTGCAGTATGAGAATCGGGGTCTTCAAAATAGGAGAGAATAATTTACGGACAGGAATGACAAGATAGTGAAATAATTCAGATCGGCTATGCTTTTCCCTGTACTTATAAATATCATATGCCGTATTTTCATGTAATAAAAACCCCAGAACATAGAACTAAAACTAAAATACAAGCCCATTTCATTAGGGCATATTAAATCCAATTCAACAGACATTTATTAGACGAAGCATTATTGAGCGTCTATTATATGTTTCTATTCAACTTGTTTATTACTAATATATTCCCTGATTTAATATTTCTTTTGCCTTGTATTATAAGTGTTCACACTATTGAACTCTTCTTAATTTGCCTTCTTTCCCAGTCACAATTAAAAGGATTTTATGAATTGAGTGTTTCTCCACAATGAACTGGGATTTAGCTACTTCACCGATATTTGCTTCATCAAATATGCAGGCAACCAACCACATACTTTCTCGAAAGGTTAACATCTGTTGTAAGTAGAGATGCTTCTCCCAAATCTCTATTGACCAAACTCCTGCACATTCATCCCAGATGGCTTCTGGTCACAGACTAACATGGTAGAAAATTTAGTGAGATACACTGTTCTCATCCACCCATCCACCCATGCATTCATTTGACCAATATTGATTGAATGCCGATTCATAGGACAAGCTCCCTGCTGGGGACTGCGTCTGACCTGCACAGAGATGAAAGTTGTGTTTCTGGAAGGGTGCACAGTGTTGTAGAAAGGGGGATTTCATGGGGTTCTAGGTAAGTCTGGCAGTCCCACACAGGGAGGATAGATGGAGTGAAGTTGTAGAGAATGTATCAGCCTGGTGTTCACATGGAGGTTTTTATCACAGCCTCCAGAACTTACGGAAGTTGCTTAAATCCTTCAGGTCCTTTGTTGCCTTATGGATAATAATAGCACCTTCATAGCATTGACGTGAAAAGGAATAAAATAATGCAAATGAAGCCCACAGTACCAGGCATGTAAGTGCTCAATAAATGTTTGCTACTACTCTTCTGTCCAGATTTTTCAGCTGAGGATTTGATATTTTTTAAGAACCAGTACTGGAATGACAACTGCCAGGCTTCCGTCAGCTGCCACTGTTCATAGTAAGCACACACAGGGTTCTCCTCTGCTACTGCACCGATTAAAAATAGATTTTAATTCCCCACAGGACAAAACGAAATCTGTGCACCTGTGCTTCCCATTTCTCTAGGTAAATCCTGTCAGCTTCCTGACAATATGCTCTTCGAACAAGTTCTAGTTCCTACCCAGGCTCGCCGTGTCTGCAAAGATGAAAAGAATTCAGGAATCATTCCCCCTGGAGGAGAGAACCTTGCTCATTAGACAGGAGTTGTGAATTAACTTTTACTACAATTGTCATAAACCTACTTTATTAGTTCTAAGAAATCAGTTGCAATTAAAACTATAAAAATTCTCCAAAGAATCAGAAGAGAGGCTGCCTGGTATCAAAGCTTCACCCAGTGGAAACTCTTTGGGGAGCTCGGGGGCATGGGGAGCACTGGCTCAGCCCCAGGGGCACTGCAGATCCACCTCATGCTTGGACACTGGGCTCTTTATTCTAAAACTAGAATGTCCTTGGTACTTCTGGGCATTTTATGTCCTGTGCTTATATCTCTCTCCTGTGAATTCTGAGTGTGTTTTCTTCATTTACAGAGACCATTTAAAAATCTTAACATGTAATGGTTTTGTCAGCCTCAGCCTAATGATTAGTGGAATGGGGAAATATTTCAACGATATTTCTATGGTTCATTAGGAACCAAATATTCCAGACTCTCAGACTAGATTCCAAATGCCCTAAGAAGGAATCAAGTCATTTTCAGCCTTCCACCGCACAGACATATGCATATCACCTGCGAATGAATACACAGTAATAAAAGAATGAACAAAAGAATGCATGGCAAATTTGTGCTCCGGCTCCGAGAAACTTGCAGTCAGGATTGGGAGATGGATCTTGGCCATGGTGCACTGTGGCGTCCACTGCTCTCCAGGCAAAATATGACCTCATGCGGATTCCCATGCAGGCTCTGAACAGCAGGCGCCCTGAAGGGCGAGTCTGAGGAGCTGGAGGGAAGCAGATGAGGCACGAGCGTTTGGTCATGGCTGGCCCTAGATCGCAGGCTGCATGCGGGAATAGAGGAGAAAGGCTGAACCTTCTAGACCAAAAGGTACCCTCTTCCCTCCCGTGGCCTGTTTCCTTCATAGCCCCATAACGCAGCACAAATGTAGGTATTCTCCAAAATTCCATTCTCCTCTTCCTCCTTCTTTTCCTCCTCCGTTCTCTCAGAAATCCCTTCTACTCCGACATATTCAACTTCCAACATAATGTCACAATGAACAACACAAGTTCTAGTGTCAGACGGCTCTGCAGCTCTCACCTGTGTAACCACAGGCAAGTCATCTGAAATCTCTGCCTCCATTTCCTCGCCTTGAAAACAGGAGTAATAATAGAACCTCCTTACAAGAGATTGTTGCAAATATAAAGGAATCGGTACACACAGGGTGCTAAGAATAGTGCCTACATAAGTATTAGACATTTTAAAAATTACTACTGTTATTTCTGAAAGATGAGTCTCAAATTCTCATCTATAAATTCCACCTTCTCATCTATAAATTCGCATCTATAAATCCCACACTTCTGCTCCTGCCATAGCCCTGAAGAGGAGTCCAATGTGACCTACTCTGACGCCCTTCTCTGCTCCCCCAGTTCCTCCCACACATCCACGTACTGTAGAAATCAGCAGTTTTTTACATTCCATGAAAATAAGCTACTCATCCCCTCCCCTCCTGGCAGAGGCAGGAACCAGAAACCACGCCCCCACAGAAATCAGCGTAAACACTTTGTTTCTTAACCCCCATCCAGGCCGATGTCTCCTCCCCTCACCATATGTGTGTGTGTGGTGGGGGGGGAGTGCACGTGTGTTTGTGTGTGTGCATGTGTGTGTGTGTTTGTGTGCATGTGTGTGCATTTGTGTGTGTGCATGTTTGTGTGTTTGTGCATTTGTGTGTGCATGTGTGTTTGTGTGGGGGGAGTGGGGGGTGCACGTGTATTTGTGTGTGTGCGTGTGTGTGCATGTGCGTGCATGTGTGTGTGTGCATGTGTGTTTATGTTTGTGCATTTGTGTGTGCGTGTGTGTATTTGTGTGTGCATGCACGTGTTTGTGAGCGTTTGTGTGTTTGTGTGCATGTGTTTGTGTGTGTGCATTTGTGCCTGCGTGTGTGTGTGTGTGTGTGCATGTACTGTGTGTGTTCTCCCTCTCCTTGCCAAGCAGCAAAGCAAATTCTTTGTGAGTTCCTCCTGGTCCTTGAGCTGCCCCAGGAGTCCCAAGTCCCCTTAATACCATGACTCTTCCTAACACCATGAGCTCCTTATGAGGAATTCTGGGATTATGGTAAAAAAAATTCTTCATTTTGTGGAACAGTGTATCTCCTTCTACCACTCTGGGGCTAGTTACAACTTTCCCCGCCTAGATACCAGCATAACATAGCTACGTTGTGACAGGACTGGCTCACACAGCACAAAGTTACTAACTGATACAGAACTCTCCCAAGGCTCTGAGCTGCTCCATTTGTTGTCGGCTCTGTCTGCAATACCTCTTTCCTTCCTCATATCCTGGTCAATTTCTATTTGTTCTACCATCTTACCTCCTTTGGTTGTGAGGCTATTCCAGAGCTTCTCTAGAGAAAACTCTACTACTCTCTGGACCACAACATACTGCTGCCCAGGTTGTTCACTGCACAATTCTGGCAGGTGTCATTACCATAGCCATTCACACTGGAATCTACGTGTATAAAACGCTCTGGGTGTGACGTATTCATCAGCATCAGCCTCTGTGGCCTGATGCTCTTTCTTTTGTCCTTCCTCAGCAAAGCGCACTCCTGTTTTTCTGTTAACTTCTTTTCTGCTTGCCTCACTCCTGCTGAACTTGGTGCCTCTGAGGAGCAGGGGGCATGCTTTCAGTGGGTCCAGGCGAACACCTAGCCGTGTTCCAAGCACAAGAGGCTCCTGGTAAATGCTGTATAAATGAGCGAGCTGAGTGTTTTAATTCCAATGCATATTAATTCTCACCATATTGCTAACTGGATGCAGATGAAAATAAAGTGTGCAATAAAAAAAAGAAAGAAAGAAAGTCTCCTAACCATGGCGCATGACCCTGATGAAACGCTCGGTTCCCGTGGGCTTAGCCTCCTGCGTGGACAGAGCTCGGTGTCCAAGGTAGAGCAGGCAGATCAATCACCTGCCAAAAAGGAGACGTGCTGTGCTTTGGGAGAAGGTGTTGGCGTTGCTGCCCTTTACCCTGGAAAAGGTCAAAGACGTCTCTCGGTGGAGGCAGTGTTAAGAATGAATGCTCTGGACTTTTGTTTGCAAAGGAGAAGCTGCCGCGCAGCCGGGGCCAGGCCCCACGTACCTCTGGTGCCGCAGGTACCCCTGCTCCCGCCCCAGCTGGGGGTTAGCGAGTGCCCTGCCCAGCTGAGACACATCCGTACCCTTGAATATGAGCCCTCATATTCGCAATACACTTCAGGTTAACCACATGAAGATGAATCCAGGTTCCCCTCAATGCTTCCAAATGGCAACTCCTCACGTATGACAGCGGAACGCGCCAGGCAGGCCCCGAAAAGCTGCAGCCACCGCCAAGAAGATCCCGCGTGCCAGGCCTGCGCGCCAGCCATTCTCTTGTTCTGACCATATTTTGGTTCATATTCCTTCTGAAAACAAGATCCCTGCCTCCTGGCTTCGTCCTTCGTTGGGATTCTCGCAGGTGCTGCCGTTCAGAGGCCTAGAGGGAGGGGAGGGCTGTGCGCAGCGCTAAGCCCAGGGACACCGCGCCCTCTCAGGTGTCTACTTTCCAAGGAGGATGACTCCACTTTTCCAAGCCCACCCCAGAGAATTCCTTTCCATTGTAAAGGGAAAGGGGCGGACGGCTTCAGCATGTTCACTACAGTCGAAAACACGGAGGCAAGGAGAGGAGGGTGACAGGCGTTCCGTGGAGGCGAAAAGAAACAGAATTCCGAGATTCTTATTTGCAGAAAGTCTTGCTAACAAACCAAAAGCCAGAGTTTTAAGATCACTCATGGAAATACCTCCCAGGATGTCGTCTCTGATTAAGGATGTGTGAGGGTTATTGAGTTTTGAATTAGATGCACTTTAATAAAACAGTAGAATGTTCTTACCTGATTGCACCTGTATTGATTGTGTTCAAGAGGTCTACCCTTGGGTCCGGGTCAATGACTTTACATAAACTTGCTAGCGACTCCGACTGGATGTTAGTTTTCAGATTTTTGTAAGCTATCCAATTTGTTAGATTTCAGTAATCTAAGGAACCTCAGAGCATGCCTCTTGTTGATGAATAGAGTTTTTTTTTGTTTTTTAACTTTTTGCCTGTGTTATATTTTGCTTAATCTCCATGGCTACATACTCAAATGAGTCACTTTTTAAAAACTGCATTAACAGCAGAAATGTATTACAATGGTTTCTAAATTGCAAGAAGTCTTTCATGCAAATGTAAAATAGTTAAATATCATCACCTAAGTAAACTAGCCATATGTCTAAATAAAATGGAATGTACAGTTCGTAATTAACATGTACAATATGTGTTCAATTGATATGCATTCAATAGTATACTTCAAAATACTAGTGTTATTGTTTCTGATAACCTCTAGAAAGCCAATATACTCAAGTATGCTCATGGACAACCTCCTGTTAGTATCTTAAACCTCACGTTTGCAAGAAAATGTATTAATTAAGCTGAAGTTTGCAAAGTTTTAGCAGCATCTTTTAAGTTTTTCTAAATTATAGAGATGTTCTTTTAACAAGGCTTTTTAGATTTTACAAATAAAGCAAAACCAATGCCTCAAAATTAGAATTCATTAATTCTCTCATTCAACAATTTTTTAGCCCCTATTAGACTCTGGCACCATTCTAGGAATTGGTGGACAAGGCAGACTCCCTGCCTTCATGGAGCTAGAAGGTAGTGCAGATGGTGACAATGATTATTAAACAAATAAAAACACTGCTGGAATTTAGGCAAGATGGAGGACCTCCATGAGGCTGGGCTATGAAATGATGGAGGAGAGGATGGGAATTACAGGGTGGTCGTGGTAACGGATATTAGAGCAGATAAGAGATTAGCAGGAACATGACTAAAGAGAGGGAGAAGGAAATGTGAACATCCGGCGGCCGGGGTTCTTGGTAGAAAAACCAGTAAGTGCAAAGACATCAGACGTGGACATGAGCTTGGTATGTTTAGAAAACAATGTGGCTGGGGAGGAGCAGCACGAAGGAGCCCAAGAGAGGATAAGCAGAGCTGATTTGGGGACCTGATCATGAAGAACCGTGAAGGACTTGGTGAGAACCTTTGATTTCATTTTAAGTGTGATGGGAAGTTACTTCATAATTTAAAGATGAGAGTAATGTGCCCTGATTTACAGTTTAAAATCACGTGGGCTGCTGCATGGGGATGGACTGGGGCGTGGATCACAGAAGCAGTGAAGCCAGGCGTGGGCTCAGCAAGCACTGCAGATGACCTGCCCAGCCAACACATCTCTTTCTTTTACTCAGCAAGGAAGTTTGGAATGTTTTTCCTGGATGGTCATGTAGCTACCTCAGAAACTATTTACTTGCCCTTCTTCAGATAGGAGTTGCTGATTGGGATGTAATCAGAAGTTGCTCTGGATTTCTGAGAACTTTGCTGGCAAGGGAGACAGGCATGTGGCGTGAATCGTATTTGCCTTCCTTTCACCTCCTGGCTTGATCAAAAGAGTCCAGTGATGACCAGAGAGATACAGGGATCAGGGGCAGTGAGCTGACTTTAGGATGGCAGAGCAGGAAGGTGGCAGAAGCCTGGGTCTCTGATAACCATAAGACTCTCCACAGCAGTCTGGAATGTGCCACCTCTGGAATTATCCTGTGTGAAGGATCAGCTTCACACAGAATAATTTAAGCCACTGGTTTATTGGAGTTTATGGTAGGCAAATTCAATGCCAACTAAGTCAAGAGTTTATAGCAATGGCTCAGATGAGACACAAAGATACTGGGTTTGGGTGTGGTGTGGAAGGTGGGACTTAGCGGGCTTCAAAGTGGATTTTGGGGGTGTAAGCATTTTCTGATCTCAGTCTGCTGGGGGAATGGGAACTATGAGAGGAAGAGAGAGATCAAGGACAGCTACCAAGATTTGGGCCTGTGTGACTGGTCGGATTTTAAGTGTGGGTTATAAAACCAGCTCTCAGTGCATTATTACAGATGGGCAGATTTATGATGAAAACATGAGGAATTTTCCTATATATTATTTCTATTTTTTCAGAGAAAAGTTGTAAAGTCCTCTGCTGGGACTGAGAATGACAGAGGGGCTATTGGGCACCCAACGAGAGGAAGAAGTATGGAATGGACATTCGGGAGATAAGGTGAGTTGAGCTGAGAGGTGTGCTAGTATTGCCAGGCAGTGCTGAGGATTCACTTAGCATTCGTGATAAGAAATTTAAGGTGAGACACTCCTCCCACCAACAGCACAATTAGGTAATTTTTCCCAGGCCACGTTCAACTGGCCTGGTATGGGCACACAGCTAATAGAGTTGGATTTAATTAAAACTGTGCGTTTATTTAGAGAGTGCAATGGAGAAATAGAGGGACGAGGGCACTGAGGAGGTATTCAAAGGAGTCGCAATAGTAATGGTCCATGAAATCGAAGCTGGGTGAGGAGAGGAACAGGAGATACAGGGAGGGAGGGACATTGAAAGCTGGGGAGAAAAAATGAATTGGAGGCCTGGGTTTACATGAAGTCTTATTGGTGCTGAAGTACCATCAAAGGGAGCTGGAAAGATAAAAGGCTGGGTTAGAGAATGGGAAGCTTTAATTAAATATGTTGTAGGGAGTGTGGTTATTGGTCATACAAAGTATGAGGAAATGGTCATGAAAGTGGACAGCAAAAGTGGGAGGAGGAGAGCTTCTACAGGAGATGAGGGAATCGAGAAACAGACATAGGGGCTCACTAACCCTTTACCTGGATGGCAAAGTTACCAGGAATGGGGGTCAGAGTATTGGTGCAGAGAAAAGACAGGGATGTGGCAGTGGAACTCTGGCACTGCCTGGAGAACAACAGATAACTTCAACACAGAGAGGCCACACTGGGAACAATCTGGGAGCACATGCTTCCAAGATGCTGGGGGCTTATCTTTTGTTTTGCTTGTTTATTTTATGGATGAAAGACACATAGGGGTCCAGAGAGAGCAAGGATGATGCCACGCCACCTCCAGTTCCTGTGGAATGCACAGTGTGTTATGTGGGAGGTAACCATCCGTTGAGAGACTGGCAGCAAACCGTGTCTTTGGGAGGTGCTCAGATCTTTGTCAGGGCAGAGAGGTGATGCACCCTGACAACAAAACTCCTCACAAAGCAAACCACGATTGGTATAAATGTAGTTAAAAAGGAAGAAAGGCAAACTAAGAATACATCTGTGCAAAAATACACACATGTAAATACACTAATGCATATACACACATGCATGCTCACGTGTGCACACATGCACACATATGCAGACATGTATGTGCATGTACACTCACACATACATGGACACACATGCCTGTCCACGCACATGCATGCATGTGCACGTGCATGCACACACATGCAGGCAGGCTCACCCACATACACATACATGCACACGCATGCAGTCACGCTCACCCATATACACATACATGCATACACATGAACATGCATGCACACACATGCAGGCTCACCCACATACACATACATGCACACACACACACACACATTCTTCCCCTTTCTGGTGTATATTCATCATTCAAACCTCACCAAGTTCCCCCTTGATGCCTTCTTGGTACCCTACATGCTATTTCTGTTGAGTATTACAAGATTATGTCATTTGTTCTCATCTTCTGACTTGACGTAAAGACAGGGACTGCCTTTGATCTTTGTGTCCCCAACACTCAGTAAATAGTAGGTGCTGGATAAATACATATTAAGAAAAAGGACTAACTGAATGCCCTGAGACATATCACATAAGTCAGAGACTCTATTTTGTTTTCATGAACCCAGGCACAGCCTAGAAGTGTAGTTTTCTCTCATTCTAAGAAGGGCCCACTGCATTTGCCTTCTTGGCCATACAGCAGGGCTGTCTGGGAGAAGCCACGGACATGGCTGCAGTGGGTTTGCGTTGTGACAGAGGCTCATTCCTGGTCCGACCCTTCCCAAGTCAGGAGTGACCATGTGACTACCTATGCATCTCCTGACTAGGCCCCAACACAGTGCAAGACAAGGGTAGACATTGGTTGATATGTTAAGTGGTTTATGGCCTCCACCCTATGCCTGTCTCAAAGAATCAAAGGCTGAAAAATAAGTATATTTCAACAAATCCACTTGCTCACATGTTTCCAGTATGTTCTTGAATGGGTTCTTCAAAACCAAACAAAAAAGCACCTAATTGTGTCACTCAAGCTAAAGAGCACAGACATAGTGTCACTGATCAAAGCCCTGTTTGTATGTAATTGCCTCTCAAAAATGCATTTCGAATCACTGTCACCTTCTATTGTACCTACGCAAACACAAGTGTTCTGTGAGTTGAAAGCAAACAAAGGCCACACTTGCAGACCTGAACAATTCCTCCGCAGGAGGCAAGCATCCTGGGATCTTGGTCTCTGAAGGCTGCAGCTCAGTAGATTGTCAAAAGGCACTTTTCTCCCAACATCAATATCCCTCCAATCAAGAAACCCAGTAAAAAGTGAAGGACGCAATTTAGGTAAGTCAGAGAGAATTAAGAAAAAAATAATTACAGGTGAATAAGACAATAGTTTCATTTCATAGGTCTGCCTTTGCCTTCACAAGGAAACAACAGAAAGCATGGATGTGTCTCTATGCAGGCTCACGTCACGCTCCAAAACCACATGCAGACGGCAACGGGAACCCCACAGCTGTGAACCTGCTGATGAAAGCCAGTTGCACTGGCTGTTGGGATTCTTGTGCCAAATGCACATTTGGGAACTAACGTGGGAAGAGTGTGCAGAACAGCTAAGATTCAGCGCTGGATTAGCACTTACAAGTGGGGGTCCTGGGAGCTGTTACAGCCCAAGACCACCTTCCTGACTTGTCCTGCCTCAGCTGGAGGCCAACAGAACACCTCAGTAGGAGAGCAGGATGATGTGGGTCCAAGATTCGGCAATACTGTGAACACACAGAAGTGTTTTTAGGGAAGTAGGTAAAGAAAGAAGAGAGATTCGTTTGTCTGAAGGAATGATGGCGTCCTTCCATTGTGAACAGTTGTTGCTGGCTGTGAATTGGTACTATTGACAGTCAGGCTGAGAAAATACAACATCCTTCTTGCATTTAAATTTTGGGTCCTGAGATCAGACGCAAAAACTGTTTGGGGAACCATGACTGATCCTTGCCAAAATCTTTATTCGTTCATGGTGAGATGAGAAAAATAATGACAATGTAGAGAGTTTTCTATAAAGCTAAATATAGTCATAAGCATTGTCTTATTTTTCCAAATTTAACTTTCTTCCCTCTTTTTTCATGTGAAATGTTAAATGTCTTATGAAATTCTAATGATATATATGAGGTAATAGTCGTATCTTCTTGGTTTAGTTTATAATGTCCTTGTTGGCAAAATACAGGTTTGGCAACCCTGTCAGACCTCACTGTTGTTGGAGGATTATACTACTCTGGGGAAATTGAAAAGTCCAGAGCCCATTCTCCTAGAGGGGCAGTAAAACAGCTGCTCCAGAGGGCAGTCTACTCTCTTTCATCAGCAGAAATTATTGCAGCATCCAAACAAAACCCAACAGCCTGGAGGGCAGCTCTGATAAGCTCTTGCTTTGCTGTGTGGGTGAGCCTGTACCCTGGGGCTCCTGCTCTACCTCCTGCCTTGGAGACAACTCATAAACCAGAAGAACTCAAAGGGCTTCTTGAAACATGCCGCAGGGTATACAACAAGCTTTGCCATCAGAGTAGGGAACCAGTGTCCCTCATTAGAATTAAAACCTAAAAGTTTAACCTCTTTATCCTTCCTTGAATGTAAGTTATTCCAAGATACATTTCCAAGAACAGAACATGGGAGAAACACTCTGCTTATTACTCATCGAAGCAGGGAATTATGAGTGATTCACGACGCATGTTATCTCAGAAAATTATTTCCTAGAGACTCCCTCTCTCTGGGAAAGGGTTATTTTTTAACCCTCCTGACCCACGGCAACTTCTTTCTCCAATGGGAATCATTCATTGTAGAGAAACTTACAGAGAGACCACATGATATGAGAATTGACAGATTGAGCAGACCAAGATTCTAGCTCTAACCACAAAGTCTTTGATCTTAGACTTTTTGGAGTTTTTTATTTTGGCTATGCCTGATGATCTCTAATGTCTCTTCCAGCTCTAAACATTGGATCTAGGATGGATTGAAGGTTAATGTTAAATTAACCTTCAATGTTAAATTGACCTCAATGGTTAAATTAATGAATTATCAATTCATTAATTTATTTAATAAATGGTGAGAACGTATAGTGTCATGCTTATTGAATGGAATTTGGACCCAGTCAACTGGGCTTGAATTCTGGCTCCATTAAGGGAGGAGACCACCCCACATATTGTCTTATGCCCAATTTCTGCCTCCAAAGAAAGAAGAAGTAAAAACTAAAAGGCAGAAATGAAATCCACAGGCAGACAGCCTGGCGCCGCGTCCTGGGCCTGGTAGTTAAAAATCGACCCCTGACCTAACCGGTTATGGTATCTATAGATTCCAGACATTGTATGGAAAAGCATTGTGAAAATCCCTGTCTTGTTCTGTTCCTTTCTGATTACTGGTGCATGCAGCCCCTACTCATGTACCCCCTGCTTGCTCAATCGATCACGACCCTCTCACACGGACCCCCTTAGAGTTGTGAGCCCTTAAAAGGGACAGGAATTGCTCACTTGGGGAGCTCGGTTGTTGGAGACATGAGTCTTGCCGAAGCTCCCGGCCGAATAAAGCCCTTCCTTCTTTAACTCGGTGTCTGAGGGGTTTTGTCTGCCGTTTGTCCTGCTACACTATCACTTCTTATCTGTGTGAACTTGAGCAAATCACTTGAACTCTCTGAGCCTCAGTTTCTTATCTGCGTAGTAAGGAAAATAATAAATCAGTGATGGCTGATTGCCCGGGTTTAAATGACATAATTGACTAGAACAGTGCTGGGATATAGAAAGCACCGTATCAGGAATTCTTCTCGTTAAAATGATATACCATATTCTGTACTAGGCATTTGAAATAGTAAGACCAAGTCACCATTTTCAAGGAACTTATATAATAGCACATTAAGGAAATATGTAAGCAATTAAAAATAATGCAGCATTAAAAATTTTGGCATACAAGTCCAAAAACAAACAACAAAACACCTACAAAGTCTCCAATAAACTTAGGAATTCTCCCAGAACACAGCAGTGAGTTCCTCTGCCCCCTTTACTTGAGCACATACATGTCTGGTTGCAATTCCATTCATTCGTTTTTGTTTTTGTTTTCTATTCATTTGTTTATTCACTCTTTCAGTCATTTTTTATGAATCAAATATTCACTGATTAATTATCTATTTTCTCAACATGTGTGAATCCAAACACAATCACTGCTTCCTGTGCACACACGGCTGGCTTTCTCTTCAATTCTGTCGTCTTCATATACCTTCTCTAAGACAGTTCTCCCTGACTTCATACCTTTTTTTTTTTTTTTTTGGACTTGTATGCCAAAATTTTTAATGCTGCTTTTATTTTTAATTGCTTACATATTTCCTTACTTACTATGAGTTCCCTGAAAATGATGTCTTGGTCTTACTATTTCAAAAGCGTAGTACAGAATATGGTGTATCATTTTAACAAGAATTCCTTATATAGTGCTTTCTATATCCCAGGCACGGTTCTAGTCAATTATGTCATTTAAACCTGGACAATTACCCATCATTTATTTATTATATTCCCTACTACACAGATAAGACACTGAGGCTCAGAGAATTCAAGTGACCTGCTCAAGTTCACACAGATAATAAGTGATAGAGCCAGAATTCAAGCCCAGTTGACTGGGTCCAAATTCCATCCAATAAATATGACACTATACATTCTCACCATTCATCGAATAAATTAATATATTGTTAATACCCATTGGCCTCACAGGAATGTGGAGAGGCATAATATACAATAATTTCATCCCATTTATAATATACTCAAAGGGCAGAAATTTCCTAATGATCTCCAGATTCCGAAATTCTATTTTATGCAGAATTTTAATAGTTTATATCTGTTTATTATATAATATCTCATATTACACTAATTACACAACTCTTTGGGGCCATTCCATGATAAACTTCTCCACTGAAATGAACATATTTCTTATCTCCTGAGTCCTGCTCTAATTCTCCTTCCAAATCAGTCTGCTAAGTTTAACTTGTAAATAAATTTACTTGAATGGCTCAGGTTTTCATCGGAGAAAAAAAATTGCAATTAGGTGGAAAATTCATGATTTTTGAAATGAGAAATAAATCTCAAGGTGTAGTCTTGATTGAAAATATTTCCACGAGTAAATGGACAAATAAAAAATGTGCTTTCCACCTTTATTATTCACTGAATATTGACTAAATAAATGCTGAACTGTGGGCTGTTCACAGATTAATTTGCCAGTTCAATGTGCAAACTCCTCTGAGGCTTCCACAAGCTGGACTCAGTCCTCGGTTAATTTCATTACAGCTTGAAGAGACTAGATAAAAAGGAAGATGAATGATACTTGAAATTAGTATTTCCTCCTCCAGGGCTAATCTACAAATCAGGTATTATCAATTTCTTATCCTGTTCCCAAATCAAATAAATTCAGAGATTCTATCCTGGCTGCATTTGAAACAGAAATCCCCAGTGACCCAAGACTCACAGCTGTGGTTCACTTGCTCCTTCCCCAACTTAGAAACAGATTCATTAATTTGGACTTAGATTTCAGCCTTGGCTCCCATTGAAGGGGAGGGGTGGGAGCGAGAGCTTGGCAACTTCCTGAAGACCTGGAGGAGTTAGACCTAAATACATCAGTGCTTCCTTTTATAAGATACAATAGGAACTTGTGAGGATTCCTTCTTTATTGGTCATTTAATTTTCCTCTTTTTAAAGGCATTCTTTGGTAATGTGGCCCCCTTAGCATCTTAAATATCTTGCATGCTGTTACAAAGACACCATTCAGGGCTTTGCGGGCCAGAGCACTGTGGTATCACAAACACAGGAACTGGGAAGCTTCGGAGTGTTCCCAAGGCAGGCCTCCACGGCTACAGACAGTTGGCAGAGGGCAGCCAGGCTCTGAGAATAGAAGACAACATGAATGCATCGGAAACAAAGGGCCGGGGGAGGCTGGACCCATCTTCACTGGGGATAGAAAGCTTTCATCCACAAAACCACCTAGTTCTGTTCTTGTTCATTCCTCCTTTCTCTTATCTTCCCATCGGCATTCCTGAATAAGCCACAGTGCTATACACTGTAGAAATTCTGTAAAACACAGAAATGTGACTTTGTCAGGGAACCTGGAACGTACCTTGGCGGGTTATCCACCACATTTGCTACTTTTATTGGCAAAGTAACCTAGGATATAAATACGTGTTTTATCAAATGAAAAGCCGAGTTTAACTTCTGGATGACATATCCTTGAGACCA